>NC_000002.12:94140557-94293015 GCF_000001405.40 Homo sapiens | reverse complement strand
ACCCTGGGAGGCTGAGGTTGCAGTGAGCCAAGATTGTGCCATTGCACTCTAGCCTGGGCAATAAAAGCAAAACTCCATCTCAAAAAAAAAAATGTATTTAGGGTAATATTTTGAGTATCTTCACCTCCATATGTACAATAAATATTATTGTGATTTTTAATCTTTTCTGTGGAGAAAACACAGGTGTGATTGCTAGTGTAGCTGAACATCGTTTATTTGACAATATTGCACTTGTGTGTGGGTGTGTGCCTGTGTAGCTACTCTTTAATTTTGTTCTCACATAATGATTAGATATTAACAATTAATTCAGTAAAATGTATGTTTTGCAATATT
The DNA here is from genome assembly GCF_000001405.40 of Homo sapiens. NCBI lineage: Eukaryota > Metazoa > Chordata > Mammalia > Primates > Hominidae > Homo > Homo sapiens. The sequence goes on along the minus strand of NC_000002.12, from coordinate 94,292,682 downwards.
TCTCCATGTTATTATGCTTTAAATTAGTTTAATCATGCCCCTATAATGTGTACATTTTAACCTTTGACTATAGGTCTCAATCTTACTTTGGTTCCTGTATTTGAATTTATGCTAATAAAGTCCTACAGCTAAAAAAGATGATATAAACTAATCTACATTTTTACTAGTATTCTGGTGTCACTTTAAATTATGTAATGAAATCAAATTTTAATTTGGATTATTGTTATCTGAGTTAAGGATCTAAATTTTTAATTTTATTATAAATATTACATAATTATTTCTGAACCATACGTTGACTAATCTGCCCTTTATATGATGTGCATTATAAGAGCTTGGGATTGTTTTATTTGCAAAGATGAATGCTTGAGAAGTAGATATTTAATCATAACATTTCAAAATCTACTGGATAACCTAGAATTGAAAAATAGCCTATAGGTTGAAAAACTCCTGTAGTGAAGAAAGAAAATAACTAATATACAGTGACAATATAAATATTATAAGTATTTATTGTATTATCGCCCTGAAATTTGATAATACAAACATGTAATATCTACATATCATCCATATATCAGGTCATAAAAAATCAATACATTCTTCAAAAGTTTAGCATAACAGAAAATGCACTCTCTCTCCTTGATGGAATTAAGTTACCAATAAAAGTAAAATAAGTAGATAAGTAGATGGAAGTAGATGTTTAAAAACAAAGAAAAATATTTGTTTTGGATAACATAAAATCTCAATTGACAATTCCAACATTTCCAGAACTTTGCCTGTCAACTGGTGGAGAGTTTTCCCCAGGAGACATTTGTCAATGTCTAGGGTTATTGTGGGGATGTCAAGACTGGTGGAGGTGTGAAATTTAGAGGTCAAACGAAACACCTAGCATTGCTAGGGCAGCCTCCCACAACAAAGAATCCTCTGGTCCTAAAGTTAAGTAGCACCAAGGTTGAGAAACCATAATCTAGACAGCAAACACTACGTAGCTATTCCAAGTGCTCAGGAAAACACATCAGTGCCCTCGAGGGGAAAAGTGTGAACATTTTAATTGCCGTACATGGTGACACAAATCCATGTTGTTAATCTAAGTGGAAGGGGCTGAAGCACAAAACGTAATTCAAAGAGTTTACTTGAGCCACAATGAGGACAGCTGCCTGGAAGAAACAGACCCACGTATCCTTGGATATGAACTCCCTTTGGAGCTTTGCAACAAGCAGTTTCTTAAAGGCAAAAAAGGGTCCAGAAGTGGGATGATCCAAAGAGGTTTGTCACAAATTCTCATTGGCTTATGGAAATAACATTTATTAGTGACTGGCTATACACTGTTACACTATTATTGGGTGTGTATTATAGTGTCTGGAGTGGCGTTATTGGTTAATTTATAGCTACTGTGGCAACTGCAAGCAGCCTAGATGAACACACAGCTCAAAGAGGAGCAGGACAGAACTGCTGTCTCATTTGAATATCTCTCTGGGCCTGATTATTTAAAAGGACTTGCATTTCTCACATGAAAGTTATTTTCTTTTCTCAATGTCCATAAACGAGAATAAATATAGATCTTTTCGAGGATGAAGTAAATGGAATGAAAAACAAAACCCAAGCTGACCAGAAATCATAGAGGGAAGAAAAGGTTATAAATATATGGATTTTTCAAAGTGATTTTAAGCTATTAGGAATCAGTTAAATGTTGGGGGATTTTGTCTGAGAATGGGCTAAAGGAGAATGTCCCTTTTGCCTTCTGAAGTTTCCCTGAAAATCACTAATAGGAGGCAGATAAATAGTAGAAAAGGCATACAGGTTTCTGCAATGTGTGTACACTGGAGCCCTTAGAACGAAGACCCAGACACACGATGCGTGCAGAAGCTCATCTACCACATGAAGTTTACAGAAAGAATGGGGTCTTGGATCACAGGGGAAAAAAAAAGGTTATGTGAGAAAACGACCCTGGCTAGCGACAGTGGGCTTATTACATAGGTGGAACCTCACTGGGAGCAGTCCTCAGAGAGAATAGAGAAAAAATGTTTCTTTCAGACCTTTGGAGACCTCAGACTCTCAGTTAACCTTTCCTAGATCCAGACAAGGGGGCAGACCTCAGAGAAAGCCTGGCTGCATCAAGGCAGATTCTCTACTGACGCAAATCTCCCCAAGACAGCTTTGCAGCTAAGTTTGCATTTCCAGCCCTTCTCAATAGCCATTTTGAAATATATCAAGGAAATATATTTAGGGGTAAAATATATTAGTTTCCCTCATACAGCTATAAAACATACAGGAATAATTTTTGTCAATGTCTACTACAAATCCAATATAGCAGTAATTATAAAACCCACCAGATATTGAAGAAAAAATATGTAGAGTACATCAATTGCAAATGTTGATACTAAAATGCCAAATAAAATAAAAATAATATCCAACAATATTTGAAACAGTAAGACAAGAAATTGGCAAACAAAATAAAACAAATATCCACCTTGGGGGTGAAAGTGTGTTTCCAAATTTGGTAATCCACTAATATTAACAATCATATTGATTAGCCCAAATTAAAAATAAATAGGGGATTCTCAGTACATGCTAAAATATATTTGTTAAAAGGCAATATTCATGTCTTTAAAGATTTTAAATGCTATAAAGAGTCTGATATTCTATACGCAAACATGTGTATGTCCATTAGAAGAATAGAGGCCTGATTTTCATATGTTACTACATAGAGATAGAGAAGTGGATAGATTAATTTGCATATGCATAGAGAAAGCATAAAATAGAAATTTACTATCATATTAAAGGAATTTTAATTCAACAATAAAATAATTCAAAGGTAAAATTTTAAATATTTTTAACAGGTACATTATTAATATTAGATAATATTTATAATAATTGTGAAAATATTCAATGCTAAAATAAGATACAATGTCTAAACATCAGTATTAAAACTAGTATAAATATTTGCTTGTTTATACAAGGAAAATTCAAGCTCGACCTAAAATTATATAGGAAATAAAAGAAAAATTTTAAGGGAGCTCTTTAATAACATAAACATATATATATATACACACACACATATGACATGTATATATGTTATATGGGATAGATATAGATTTAACATGTTATATCTATATTTGTATCTATAACTACAGCTGTATGTATCTACATTTCTATATATTTACTCAGTGATATAAACATAGACTGGAATAAATATAAAGACACATATGATTCTTGGATAAAAAGGATTTAGTGTCATAAAGACAAATTCTTTCCAAATTCACTTATGAATTCACAACAATATACAGTTTCATTAGTATAATTTAAAACTTTTAAATAAATTCCAAGATTCATTTAAAGGAATATACACGTATACAAGCAGTCAAGAAAGAAGCAAGAGTGCACTTAACTAACTTGCTATTAAAAGACATTTTTAAACTTAGTAACTAAAACTGAGCAGTACTGATTTGGAGTACTGGAATTTAGGTATATGGGATCTCAAAAGCACAGAGCTCAAGGGAGACCCCTGTATGCACGAGAGCTTAGGATGTGCTTTAGAAGGCATTACCAAACCACGGGCAAAGTTACTTTAGTGTCTTAGTCTTACTAGGTTTGAAAAGCCAGAGAAAAGACTCAAGACCACCATATAAGAGCAAAACAAAAGGACAGGGAGAGAATGTGAAGATACTGAAACATTTTACATAAAGTTGTATAAAACATCCTTTAAAGAAAATATAAAGTTTAGGATATACATCAAAATCAGCAGAGCCACTAAATAAATAAATAGGCATTGTAAAATAGCAAGAGAAAATTTAAATGGATTTCTAAAAAATATTGACACCTATGATTTTTAAAATATGTTTAAGAAATCCCGTATTTCACAGGGCAGCCTTTCACAACGCAGATATGTTAGGACATAAAGGTCCTTCTGTTTTTAATTTACTAGTGTTTATAGGGTTACAAATGTCTTCTACCCTTGTCTTTTGTCTGATGGTGCAAAAAATTTTCATAAGCATGTATTTCTGAATGCCTGATGGATTGACATATATAATATGCTGCTAGTATTAAAATATGTGATGGAAAAGGCATCCAATCTTCTCACTGTTTACATAAATTCTAGGTTTCTCCTATTTACCTCAAGCACGTATGGAGCGAATTCTTACCTTTTAATATTGCCATGGCATTCACATTGAACATAAGTTGAACTCTCTCATATGGTAGCTGGGTTCAGATTCCCTTGACAATTTCCAGTTCTAACCCTCACAGTTCCTCAGTGTGGCTGGCCCAGATATTGACCCTACACAGTTGCCTCCTCCTGGTGACTACCAGCTATGGAACCGTTGGATACAACCTACCTGACTCACCCCACAGACCTCACAGCGCACATGGACAGCCCCCACACGCCAGAGTGACCTGCTCGGTTGCAGCGGGAGTCAAGAAATGTGCCTGCTGGCACTCACCCCACCGACTAGTGCCCCGTGGAAAACTTATTTGGGTAATGTTCTGGGCCCAATAAAAGCTAGAGTCCCACAGACCCCTTTTCTCTCTCCCGCTCCCCACTCATCTTCCCCATTTTGTTCAGCCCTATGAGGTGTGCTACTGTATTAGTCCATTTTCACACCACCGGTAAAGACATGCCCAAGACTGGGTAATTTCTAGAAGAAAGAGGTTTAATACACGCACAGTTCCACATGGCTGGGTAGGCCTCACAATCATGGCGCAAGCTGAAAGGCACGTCTCACATGGCAGCAGACAAGACAAGAGAGCTTGTGCAGGGAAACTCCTCTTTATAAAACCATCAGATCTTGTGAGACTTATTCACTATCAGAAGAACAGCATGGGAAAGACCTGCCCCCATGATTCAATTACCTCCCACCTGTTCCCTCCCACAACATGTGGGAATTCAAGATGAGATTTGGCTGGGGACACAGCTAAACCCTCTTCTCAGCTACCCTCTTCTCTCTGGATCTGTGAGTAATAAACCTACTTCTGTGATTTCCCATGTTTGGTTCTGTGGCCTCCATGTGTCTGAGCTGACCTACACTGGAACCTAACTCTCCTCCTGGCCAGGGTCTCTGAGAGTGGCTCTTGTCAGAAATACACAGGACACAGGTCAGGCAACAGTCACCAGGCATCTCCTAGTCTCAACAGATGTTCTGTGAGAGGGAGGCCTGGTCGTGGGATGCACACCTGGCCACTGCTGGGGTAAGGAAGTGTCCTGTGAAAAGCACATGTTAAGCATCCACAACCCCCTGATCAGAACCCCAGAAAGGCAGGGCTCCAATTGACGGTCACTCTCCAGAGGCAAACCTCAAGCCCTAACTGGAGGAAAAGAAAACAATGTAAAAGTTGAATTTATCTTACTATTTCAATGATCCAGTAAAGACATTCTATGCCTGTACACCACATATTTTCTTCGATTGTGGATTTATTTTAGATAGAATTTTATGTCTGGCTTTCACTTTAGCCTGGTCCCTACCTCAAGCATAAGGTAAAGATTTTCCATGGGTTCTTTTCTGGTACTACTACCTGCCAGTGTGGGGTCATGTCCTAGTCTATCTTGAGGGAATCCCCCTGTTCATTATTGTCAGAGTGAGACTGTTAAGTCTTGATTTCCCTGGACAACTTCACTGCATGACTTTTAATATGATTTTTTAATATACCCTTTACTGGACAATAAATTATATAGTTATCTGAGTAAGAGATATGGTCAGGAAGAGGCATTGCCTCATTCAGCTTTTCTCTTTGGTGAACTCGCATATGTTCTCCTCACCCGCCAGTCACCTCTAAACCGTATTGTTCCAAGACAACAAACAGAACTGGAGTGTGTATCATTCACCACTGGATTTGTGTTTACTCCATAAAGCTTCATGCTTAATAGGGTTTCTGTTAGCATTTTCTCTATTTATTTTCCCATAAAATATCACAGGCCTTCTTCATATGGAATTATGGGTGATTTCCTTCAATCTGCATCATATCAACTTGAGGTTCATGTTGATGAAAAGTAAAACATACGTTGAAAATATCAGTAAGGATGTTTTCCCCTCCTTTTTAGCACCTGTGCTTGTGATACAAGCACATTTTAATACAATTGTAGTCTCATGCTTTGATCATTCCTATGATGAAAATAACATTTTTAGATAAAATATCTGAGTTTTATGAGGCCTTTAGTATGTGATGTGATAGAATATCAGAAGACCATACTTTTTTCTAGTTTTCCGTGCAATTCTATCATTGTTTCATCTTTACTCCTACCAGAGTAATTTTCCAAAATAGATATCTTGTCATTCTTCCTGTTGTTATCAGTAAATAAGTGAAATGAAAAGCTAGATTATATAATTTATCTAGAACAAGAAAGTAGAATTGAATCTATATTCATTAATGAGACTAACCAGTCAATTACACAGATAGGCATTTTACATTTTGAAGATCATATGGACCCATGGTCAGAAATATTATTATTTATGTCTATATGGACATCACCTGTGCATATTTACATAGAAATCAATGAGAGCTGATTTTTATTTTTATTATATATATTTTTTGAGATAGGGTCTTGCTTTGTTGCCCAGGCTGGAGTGCAGTGGTGCAATCACTGCTCACTGCAGCCTCAGCCTCCCAAGCTCAAGCAATCCTTCCACCTTGGCCTCCCAAATAGCTAGGACAACAGGTGCACATCACCATGCCCACTTTTTTTTTCTTAACTTTTGATAGAGACTGGGTCTTTCTATGTTGCCCAGGTTGCTTTTGAACTCCTGGGCTCAAGGAATCCTCTCATTTCAGCCTCTTCAACTGCTGGTATTACAAGCATGAGCCACCATATGGGCTGGAAGCTGATTTTTAAAATACTGAGATCATATAGATGACAGCACCTGAAAAATAGACAACACCAAGCTTTATGTTAAAAGGTGTGAGGGTATCAATATTGTTGTGGCTATTGGGGAGGAAAACATTAGTAAAACCAGTAAGTTAAAGCTCTTGCTTTAAACTTTGGCTTTAATTTAACAAATGTTCTATGGAGTGACAGTATGTATGTAACCATGCTATGCCCATTCACAGATGCAGTAGAGGGAAGAATTTCTCAAAGACAACTGTTCTAACACTCAAATTAAACCGTACTGGGTTTGAAAAGAGAAAGTCCAGGAATTACCAAATATTTTAGATATCAGATAAAAGAGAATGCCAGGTATGCGATGATAATCAGCAATGGTTGTTCACACAATACATCAAATCAGTATTTGAATTAGCTTTTGAATTACAAGGACAAATGGATCAAGTCTAGACTCTTTAGTAGATAAATCTTATTAGGCTGAGATGTGTTTTCCCCTGTTTTTCCACAAGGAGATTACAAATTTGCAAACCTCAGCTGCTCTCATTTTATGCTCTCACCAAGCCAAAAGCTGAAGTTCATCAATCAGTGTGTCTAAGTGTTCACTGGTTATATACCATTTTGTAGTTTCAGCTATCTTTCCAACTTCCTAAATCATCACCTTCATTTGATCTTGTTTTTTTCCACTATCACTTCTTTATTGACCATATAAAGAATGTAAGTGAGTTCTTATTTGGTTATTGTTCATTTTAGTCTAACTTCATCAAAATATCACAATCTTTTAATTTCACTTTAATTTCAAAGATTAAATGAAACCTACATAGAAATGAGTGTAAGATTTGCATTTGCATTATTTTGGCATCAATTTGCTATCCTCCCTCATGCACATAGAGCTCATTTCCATGTACGTGATTTCAAACATCCAAGTGCAGTATTAAAAGCAGTTGTAAATTATGGTTCTCATTTTCCTGATACAATTACAATATAAACTTCCTCTTGCTGCTGTAACCAATTACCACAAACTTCATATCTTACAATAAAGTGACCGTTAATCCTACAGTTCTGTAGTTCAGAAGACTTGAATGAAACTCACAGGGCTAACATCAAGTTTTGGGCAGGGCTGCAGTCTTTCTGAGAGCTATGTGGCAGAATCCATTACTTGATTTTTTTCAGCATCCAGAGGACACCTTTATTCCTTGGAACATGACCTCATTCTTATATCCTATTTTTCTTTTCTTCTTTTTTTTTTTTTGTAGATGGAATCCCTTTTTTTTGAGATGGAATCACCCAGGCTGGAGTGCAGTGGCATGATCTCAGCTCACTGCAACCTCTGCCTCCCGGGTTCAAGTGATTCTTCTGCCTCAGCTTCCTGAGTAGCTTGGACTACAGGCACTTGCCACCATGCCCAGTTAATTTTTTGTATTTTTAGTAGGGATGGGGTTTCACCATGTTACCCAGGATGGTCTCGATCTCCTGACTTCGTGATCCACCCACCCCAGCCTCCCAAAGTGCTGGGATTAGGCGTGAGCCACCGCGCTGGGGTCCTCATTCTTGTATCTTAAAAGTCAGTGATGTTGAGTAATTTCTCATGCCACCACCCCCAAGGTTGCCTTTCTTCTGTCTTCTTCTTTCACTTATAAGGAAGTTTGTGATTTCATTGATCCCACCCATTTAAGACAATCTCTCTATCATTTTTCCGCAACCTTAATTTCACTTGAAATCTAATTTCACACTGCCGTGCAACCTAACATATTTGTATGTTAGACTCTGGGAATTAGGACATGAAAATTTTTGGGAGGCCATTCTTTTGCCTACAGCAGACATAATCTATTTAACCTGCAGATTAAAGCGTTCTTTATTTTTCTGTCTCCCTGTCTTAATTTTTTTAAAATAATATGAATTGTAGTAAAGAGAAAGAAAGAAAAGAAAACAAAGAAAGAAAAAGAAGGAAGGAAAGAAGGAAGGAAATAAAGAAAAAAGAGGGAAAAGAAGGAGGAAATGAGGGAAGGAAGGGAGGGAGGGAGGAAGGGAGAAAGGCAGGAAGGGAGAAAAAAGAAAACATGAACACAAGAAAGAAAGAAGGAAGGAAAGAAAGAAAGAAAGAGAAAGAGAGAAAGAAAGAAAGGAGGAAGGGAGGAAGAAAAGGAGGAAGAGAGAATGGTAAAAGGGAGGAAGGCAATGAAACAAAGAAAATAAAGAGGCGAAGGAAGGAAGGAGGGAAAAAGAGGAAAGGAAGGGAGGGAGGAAGGAAGAAAAGGAGGGCGGGAGGAAGGGAGAAAAAAGGAAAGAAAGCAAGAACGTGAGAAAGAAAGAAAGAATACGAGAAAAGAAGGAAGAAAAGGGAGGGAGAAAGGAAGGGAGGGAGGAGGGAAGGAAGAATAAGAGGGAAGAAGGAAAGAAGGAAGGAAGGAGAAAAAAGAAAAAGAAAGAAAGGAAAAGAAAAAAGAAAAAAGGAAGAGGAAAAGAAGAAAGGAAGGAAGAAGGCAAGGGAAGGGAAGAGAAGACAAAGGAAGATGGAAAGAAGGAAGGAAAACCGCAAATATTAGAAATTCTGTGTTTGTTAGAGAATATGCCATACTGTTTTTTTTTTTTCACTTGAAAGGAAAGAGTATCTGCCATTGAAGATTGGATGTCTTGTTGGTGATACTGTTGTTCTTATCTTCCACATGATTACTGAGTTTGTGCCTAGTCTTTCCATTACTAAGACAAAAGTGTTGAAGTCTGCAAATATAATTTTGGATTTTTCTAGTTCACCTTTGATTTCTTTCGTGTTTTACCTCACGTATTTGGAGGCTCTGTTGTTAGCTGCATACCCTAATTAGTAGGATGTTTACATCTTCTTGAGAACTGATTATTCTATTATCTATTGTCTCTCATCTCTGATACTATTTCTTGTTCCGAACTCTGTTGTGTCTAATATCAATGTAGTCCTTCCACAGCCTTATTTTAGTGTTTCCATGATATGGCTTTCTCCATATCTTGATGATAACCTATTTATATCTCTATATATTTGGAGCAAGATATAAAATTTAGACTTGATTTTTTAAAGATTTTTCAAAGATTTTTCAAGATGGAATTCTTATTTCTTTTTGTTCTATTTGACATTCTCTGAGTTTCCTATATCTGAAGTTTGATTTTCTGTCACTTCTTTTAGAATATTTTTGGCAGTTATTTTGAAAAATATTTCTTTTGCTCCATTATTTTTCCCTGTTTTCTTTTTGGGATTTCAATCATAACTAGAGTAGGTAATTTCATCTCTGTCTTATGCAGGTTACTTTTTCTCAGGGTCTCAGGAATGTAGCCTTCTCACACTTCTGTTCTTTTCCTGGCTGTGTTGGTGAGCTCAGTGATATTCCTCCTTCACCTTCAAGAGCAGTTTTGTTTTTGTTTTTCCTGTTTTCATACTCCCAGCATCAGGAGTATTCTAAGTGTGGCAGTTTTTGTTGCCTTCCCCTACATATTAAGTGGAATATCTTGGTCTATTTGGACTCTTATAACAAAATAACATAAACTGGGTGACTAAAAAACAACAGATATTTCTTTTTTCATACTTCTTGAGGCTGTAAGATCTCAGGTCAAGATGCTCACAAATTCAGTGTTGATGAGAGCCCATTTCATGGTTCATAGATGGTGCCTTCTTTCTATGTCCTCACATAGTGGAAGGCACACAAGAACTCCATTGAGCTTCTTTTATAAAGGCACTAATCCGATTCATAAGGGCTCGGCCCCCAAGACCTGGTCACCTCCCAAGTGTTCTGCTCTCCCTGATCTGTGTCATATACAGACTCTCTTGGATTCCTTACCAATTGCTTGAGAGATCACAGTGGGTTTGTGGAGAAAAAGTTTTCAAGATGATGGATCTTTCCCAACTTCTGCAGCTGTCAGCCGTCTCCCAATCTGACCAGCCCCACTTTGTCTTTAGGAATTTATTGATTATTCCAGCTTTACTTGTCATAGTGGTGTCTATTTGCATCTGTCCTATGTAAGTGCATCTGTCCTCTTTCTCCTTGCAGGTGCTTGTTTTCCCTCACATTTTGACTCAGTTCTTGGCAACCTCGTTGCTATAAAAATAAAGTCATGACTTTGAGGTTAGTTTGGTTCTTTCATTGTTGTCAGGTTAGGAACCCTATTCCATCCCAGATCTCCAAAACCCAGACTTTTTGGGGGGTTGAAATTTTAGGCTTTCTCTTTGAATTGTAGTTTTATCTTCTTTCAGTTACCATTTGCATTTTCATAATGATTAATGAGACTAAGCTTTTTTTGTGTAGTTGACTGTACCTTTGGATTTTTTTCCCAAATACCTTTTTATTTCTTCTTTTCTTTATGGTTTTAGAAAACGTAGTTTACATAATTGCAGCTTGATTCTTTTACTCAGTTAATGGCATGCTTAATGGAGAGAAAAAATATTATTTTCCTTTTTAATTACTGTGCTTTTTTCTTTTTTAAGGAAATGTTTCATTATGTTAAATTTCAGTGTTATTCTACTTAGCTATTCCTTAAATATTATAGTATTTCGGATTTCACATGTAAATTTGTAACATATCTTGAGTTTATTATGTATAGAGTAAGGCTATTTTCTCTTTTTTTAAGGTAAAAATCACATAATATAAAATTAATAACAACCATTTTAAAGCATACAATGCACTTGCTTTTAGTATATTCACAATGTTCCAGGGCAATTTCATCATGTCCCTTCCAAAAACCCATTATGCATAAAGTTGTTACACCCTATTCTGCTTCCCTGAGCCCTAATGACCACTAATCTAATTTACATCCCAATTGATTTGCCAATTCCTGATGTTTCATGTGAATAAAATCAAGTGATATTTGTCCTTTTGTGCACTTAACATAATGCTTTCAAATTTCACCAATATTATACCATATATAAGTACTTCATTCTTTGTTATAGCTGAAAATTTGGTGTCCATTTATGAGTCAACAAGCATATGGATTGTTTCCACTTTTTGACTGTATGAATATTACTGCTGTAAATATTCATGCACATGTTTATTTTTTGAGCACCTATGTTTTGTAAGATTAACAGCTGACTTAAGAGAAACAATGGAAGGCAAGAGGCAGTAGAATAATATATTCAAAAGATGCAAAGGAAAAGAAACTCTCAGCCACGAATTCCTTATCCAGCAATTATTTTTCAAAAATGAAGATAACACAAAGACTTACCCAGATAAACAGAAATATTAACTGAAGTTGTTGCTGGCAGACCTACCACGTTAAAAAAAAACTCTAAAATAAATTCCTAAGGCTAAAAGCAAGTTACAGAAGACAGTCGCTTGAATCCACATTTTTAAAAAAGCACTGGTATAGGTAATATTGACATTATAAAAGACAGTAAAAATGCATTTTTTCTCTTTATCATAAATTGTTTATTAAATAACATGTGTATAATGGCCGGGCACGATGGCTCACACCTGTAATCTCAGCACTTTGGGAGGCCAAGGCGGGCGTATTACGAGGCCAGGAGATCGAGACCATCCTGGCTAACACAGTGAAACCCCGTTTCTACTAAAAATACAAAAAATGAGCCGGACGTGATGGCGGGCGCCTGTAGTCTCAGCTACTCGGGAGGCTGAAGCAGAAAAATGGCATGAAGCCGGGAAATGGAGCTTGCAGTGAGCGGAGATTGTGCCACTGCACTCCAGCCTGGGTGACAGAGGGAGACTCCGTCTCAATGATAATAATAATAATATGTGCATAATGTATTGCTGAGTTTTTGACATGTAGAAATGTAATACGTCTATAACATATTTTCCAGTAACATCAAAAAGGAGGTAGTTGGAAGAAAAATGTATTGTGATAAGGTAATCACTCTAGATGGTAAAGTAATAATTACTAAAATGTATTGTTGGCTTTGTAACTTTAATAGATGTAATGTGTAAAGTGATAATACTTTAAAATGGAGGAAATAAAAGAGATTTATATAAGAATGATGTTTCTATGTATTACTAAAAGTTTACTAGTATAAATTGGAAGATGATTTGAATAATTAATTTTCCATATACCTATATGGTAAACTTACAACAACAACAAACATTCCCAAAAATATATAATAAAATAATTCATTAGTAATCTAAAGTTCCCTATTTTAGAAAATATTCTTTCATTGCAAAATAAAGCAATAAAGAAAAATATTTGAGAAATATATAAAACAAACGGTAAAATGGCAGACATAAATAGAATTATACCAATTATAATCTTAAATGTGAGCAGATTAAAATCCATTCCAGAGGCAGAGATTGTCAGACTGGATTAAAACAAGTGATCCCAATATACGCTGAGATGCAAGGATACTAATGGATTGAAAGTAAAAAGATGACAAAAAATATCATGCAAAGAGCAATCATAAGAACACTGAACTCATTATACTCATAACACACAATATAGACTATTAAAAATGTGAATAGGATTTTAAAAATTTATATTGTAGTAAAAAGGGGGTCAACGCTTTAGGAAGACATAGCTATTACAATCATGTATGCACAGATATGAGCTAAATTGTTTCCTCTATATAGATGCTGCAATTCTAACCACTGAATATGACCTCATTAGGAAATAGGTTCTTTGCAGCTGATCAAGTTAAGATACAATCAGATGAGCCTGAATTCAGTATGACTGATGTCCTTATTAAAAGAAGAACTTTGAGTAGAGGGAGACATACACACAGGGAGAGTACCATGTGATTATGAGGGCAGAGATTAGCCAAGGAATGCCAAAGACTGCCACTAAACCATCAGAAGCGAGAAACAAGGCATAGAACAGGCTTTCTCTCATAGCCCTGGAAGGGACCATCCCTGCTGACACCTCAATCTCAGACTTTTAGCTTCCAGGACTATAAGACTATAAATGTATGTTGTTCATGGCACCCAGTTTGTGTTACTTGGTTATGGCAGCCCTAGAAAACTAATACATGAACTAATAACAAAGCATAATAACATGAAGCAAAAATTGACAAAAGAGGAGCATCAGCAAAATGGCAGTGGAGACAGCTGCAATCTTTCATTTCCCCACAGAAACATCACACAACTAAGAGAAACTGTCCGAATAAACTTTGCCAAAACTCTGGAAAATAGTCAAAAGATTACAACAACCGAGTGAAAGCAGACTCAAGAAAAAGACAACTTGAAAACTTTATGACATTTTTAACTTGCCTTTGCCCCAGCAAATTGGCAGTTTTGAAGTGTCAGGAGCCCACGTTCCCAGTGAGGAACACTGGTCCATGGTCCAAAGGAACAAGAGAAGATCTTACTCGCAAATTACTATGTGTCTGTTCTGACTGGTCTGGGGGATACCTAAAGGACTCATGAAAGGCTTTTGTTTTTCTGTGTTGCTAGAATACAGAACAGATAAGGAATGGACATTATCGAGAAACTCTGCAAGGAGACCTAACAAACCACAGATGCTTAGGGCAAAAATTAGAGTTTACACATATAGTAGATCACCTTCAGCACAGGAAGAAAAGTTGGAGAAGAGTATTTGGAAAACTAAGACATTCAAAATCATTCACGTACATGGGAGAGTCTAGAAAGTCACATGTATGCACAGGTTAAGCCACATGCTGACAAATGTCATAAGAAGACCCTACACTTTTACCTTGGCCGATCCCTCCCCTCAGTGCAAGCTCTGTGCAAGAGTGAACTTGAACTTCACTCAGTGCAAGAGTGAACACACACTTTGTGCCGGCTTTAAAGAACCCAGCACAAAGCCAGTCTGCATGGCCTAGAGACATATTTTGCTGGACAATGATTACTTGTTTTTCTTTTTGTTTTTGTTGTATTTGCCTGCTTGCTTACTTCCTGACATACAAGAAAATCACTGTCAAAACATTAGCTTAACATTTGTTAAGGAAACAAAAAGACTTCCATGACCACACCTTATAAAGCAAACAGTTTTGTAAATCACTTTGGAAAATTTCACTAAAAAAAAACCTTAACAATATAATAAGTAAAGAAAATTTAAAACCCCAAAACATTACTGTGTTTGTGGGGGAGGGTCTGATTCACAGAGTAACCACATAGTAATTATAATTATTATAATGCCCAGTTTTCAAAAAAAGTTACAAGGCATACAAAGAATGGGAAAGTATGGCTCATTCAAAGGAACAAAACAAACTGACAGAAAATATCTCTATGGAAACCCAGACTTCAAACTTACTAGACAAAGACTTTAAAACAACTCTCTTAATTATACTCAAATGTCACAAGGAAAACATAAACAAAGAAATAAAGGATTCAGAAAAAATATTAAAAAGTAGGAATATCAACAGAGATAGCAGAAATTCTGGAGTGGAAAACTACAACGATAAAAATTTAAAAATCACCAGAGGGATTTAAGAGTATATTTGCACACACAGAAGAAGTCATGAGCTTGAAGATAAGAAAATGGAAAATATTGACTCTGAGAAACAGATAAAAAATGAGCAGAGACTAAGGAATCTGTGGGACATCATCAAACAGACCGACATTCATATTCTGGAAGGATAAATTATGTTGTTGAAAACTTTAGCATTCTTTCTTTTCACCTTTCTTTCTTCCTCCCTCTCCCTCCTCCTCCTTTTTACTTTTCTTCCTCTTCCCTTCTCTTCTTCTTTCTCTCCTTCATTATCCCTTTCGCTCTGTTTCTCTTTCTCCCTTTCTCTTTTTTCTTTTCTTTCAATTTTCTCCATTACTAAGAGATGTTTGCATACCCTTACCATGTGAGTTGATATGGTTATTTCTCCCTTTAATCCTCTTTTGACATTTATAGTCTCTCTAAGTAAAGAGATAACCCAAACATAAGCCTCACAAACAGGCTTCCATACCATTCTTAATTTGGTCCTGTAATTCTTCATTGCTGTATTAACTTTCTGATGCTTTTAAGGATGTTTTACAACAAATTGTTTAGTTTTTTCCACTGGAATGTTTATTCTCAATTATCTAATTCATATTGTAAGTATAGAGGGAGCTTAATATAAAATTATTAAACTAATATTTGTGAAAGAACGTATTTGTGCATTTAACAAATATGTTAATCCTCAGACTGTTATTGGGCAGCTGAGCATACAGCAATAAAAATAACATAATTTTTATGTGTACAATATTTGTGGAATTCGTTACTGGAACAAATAAATAATTTAGTTAATAACATGACAAAGAACAGAAATTGTATACACTATAGAGCATAGTAATGGAATAATGAATGATTAAAGTTATTAATATTAGGTAGAAAATGAAGGGTATCTTTGAGAGCAGAACTCAAGGAAGCAAGCAATTCGCCTTATGAGGAAAGAGTTACCTGTGGATAAAGGAGAAACTGAAAAATTTACAAGTCAAGACTTTTTGAGCAAAAACAAAAATATGATTTTTAGTCACCAATTCAGTACAGTGAAAAAAAGTTGAAGAGATATCTTGGAAGTAAACCATATTGTGGAAGAGCATGTAGGGTTTTGATAATCAGGGGATTATTCTGAATTAATTTTAAATGCGATAGGAATATATGAGATAATTTAACCAGAGAATAACATGATTGTGTTTGCATTTCAAAGGGGTGGTATCTGGTGCACCGTGTAGAATAAATAGGTTTTGTGAGCAAATAAATTGGGAGGCTACTCTAATCCAGAGAAAAAAGGTAGTGACTTAGGTGAGAATGCTGTCAGGATGAGTGGTAGTAGTGGTGAGAAGTCGTTAGGCCATGGATGTATTTCATAGGACTGGCCAAGAGAACTGCAGCTAAACTGGAGTGTAGGGAGTGAAATGGAGAACTCAAAGACGACTCTCAGCACTGGAAAGTGACAGCTGTCACTGAAGCATGCTGATGCCTCTTATTAAGAGAGTTACTTGGGAGTGGCAAGATCAAAACTTCTCACTTTCAAATTTATGAAAAATATTGTTTTCAGAACGAATGACGTTGGGATCAGAAAGCCATCATTCTAATTGATGGTTCCAAGACTACACGGGCTCACACTCCCAAGAACAAAAGTAAATCATCGCAAAGGTGCTTCCTGATAATTCTAGAGAATGGAGAATTACTGTAACATCTTTCTGATTTTAGGAGAGGTAGCAGTTCCCTGTTTAGCCTAAACGCTATTTTTTTTTAAAGCTCAGCCAAGAGACTCCATTATAATTTTCAAATGTGTGTAACTTAAATTCTCATATGAAATGCCACTATGCTTAAATTAGTCAAAACATTTTCCCCATCTACAACTCTATCTTGTCATTGCAATCATTTTCACAAAAGTGACTGCAGCTCACAGACCCTAAAAGGAGAAAATCCAGGGTAGGTTATCTGATCTAGTTAGTTTCGAAGACAGGATCTAGAGATTATTTAATATGAAATAGGTCACCTGAAATGAAGTGTTTACTGAAAACAGCTTGGATCAGCCCAGTTTTCTACCACTAAACCATGCATTTGGTTTAAAAAACACAACAACTCTGGGGAATATCGGCTGCTTCCAACTGTGTTGAAGGTGTTAAAGAAAAGAGCATAAAAGTAGAAATGATCATCTGAGGCCTTTATAGTCTCTGCTCAAGAGACTAGAGTCTTCCATTCTTAACGAAACACCCAAATATCTTAATAATTGGGCAAAATCTAAATATCAGAGAGATAATTTTATCTTGAAGATTGTTAAATTATAATGGTGATTCACTACCTTGCCACGTCTCTGAGTCAAAAATTAGGTCTTTGTTTAGGAATCAATGGTACTCTGCAACTTGGAAATAGGAAGATTTTAGAAGACTCAAACACTGACTTTCTTGTGCGCAAAAAAAAAGACGTATTGAGATAAGACAAGTCCTTCCTTGCAAGGATACCTCTAATGCTCATACACCACCTCCCCTAACGTTAATATAGCTTCCAGGTCAGTAACCAGTGTCAGAGAGCAGCCCATGCAACTACAAATTCAATAGATGTCGAACACAGGGTCAAGCCTAGAATAAGAAGTCTTAGCTAATTAAGTATGCTTTTTTCCCCAAATTCATATTAACAAAAACTTGGATATGTCAGAGAATGCATTCTAAGTTCGCTCAACCTAGGAGGGAGAAACATAATTTTAAATTAAGAGCTGAAGCATTCTTGTCCTAACAAAAAGCAAGGAAAACGAAATATCACACCACAGGAGGGATTTCACAAATTAGTGTCAACATCAAAACCTTAAAATAGGCAAGGAGAATGCAGATTCACAATGAACTCTTGTACTTGTTTTGTTCAGAGAAGAGATGGTTCTGAGAGAATGACAGTGAACTAACCCCAGCTGGTTTAGTTGGTGCTTTCAACTGCTGCTTCTGATCAACTCCTTTAGCTAGAATAAATTGATGAGGATTTTGGCATGTGGTATTAGAGATGGTTATTAATTTTTTCCTCTTATTTGCATTGTTCAATGTAGTAAATACTAACTGTATATGGCTACTTCAATTCAAATTAATTACAATGAAATATACTTAAATATTGAATTTTTTTAGTCACTGTTGGTTCATTATTGAATATCTTCAGCTAAGATTTCCCATCTAAATACACTAAGAGGTGGCTTAGTTAACTGGTCGTCCACAAATATTGAGGCTGATGTTAACTCCTGATATATTCTCTGCAAATAGAATATTCATGAGCCTCCTCCTGAAATCAGCAGCCTAGAGATAGTTTTATAAATTGGATACAAGTTGGAAATCTATATACTCTCAGTTTTTGAAATATTAGCTTCCCAGGGAAGAAAATCAAATTCGTAAGATATGTTAGGACGATTTAACTCAAGATGTTCAAAACTGAAATGACGTATTCTACAATATGTGATAAAACCACCCCCTAACAACTTAAAGCAAAACAGGGATTGACCTTAAAGACCTGCCTTTTCCTCATCCCCCAGCCAATCAGTTGTCAAATCTTGCATTTTATTTCGAAAGGTCCTTATCCCCCTAGTCTCTTGTTTCTAGACTCGGCACATATTTAAGTTTGTTACCTCTATCTACTGACTTTTTTCTCTTCAAACGGTATCTATGCCTGCCAAATGTGAATATACAAAAATCAAATCAGAATGTGTCATTCTGATTTAAACTGCTTATTAGTTAAAACCCTCAAGATAACATCTGGGTTCTTGGCTGCAATGAGTCAAGCCTACTTACATCTTTTTTTGTCTTTGGCTGCACATTTCCTATCATATCACACTCCAGCAAAGCCAAGCTGTGCCGGCCTTCTACCCCATCTCCACTATTTTGCCCCGCGTCGCCGCGGCTTTTTGCCCCCTCGCCGCCGCGGCTTTTTGCTCGACCCGGCTTTTTGCCCCCCCACCGCCGCGGCTTTTTCACCCCCACTGCCGTGGCTTTTTGCCGCCGCGGCTTTTTGCCCGCTGCGGCTTTTTGCCCCCCCGACCGCCGCGGCTTTTTCACCCCCGCCGCGGTGGCTTTTTGCCGCGGCGGCTTTTTGCCCCCTGACGCCGTGGCCTTTTCCCCGCCGCCTCGGGTTTATGCCCGCCGCGGCTTTTTGCCCCCCTGCCGCCGCGGTTCCCCGCCCCTCAACCGCCCTCGCGGCTTTTTGCCCGCCCCGGCTTTTCGCTCCTCCGCCGACGCGGCTTTTTGACCCCTGCCTCCGGTGCCGCGGTTATTTGCCCGCCGCGGCTTTTTGCCCCCCCCGCCGACGCGGCTTTTTGCCCTCCGCGACTTTTTGGCGCCCCCGGTGCCGCGGTTATTTGCCCACCGCGGCTTTTTGCACCCCCGCCGCCGCGGCTTTTTCCCCCTGCCGCCGCGGCTTTTTGCCGGCCTCGGCTTTTTGCCCCGCCGCCGCGCCTTTCTGCCCGCTGCGGCTTTTACCCCCCGCTGCTGCGGCTTTTTGCCCGACCTGGCTTTTTGTCCCCGCCCCCGCCCCCGCTGCCGCGGCTTTTTCCCCCCCGCCGCGGCTTTTTGTCGCTGCGGCTTTTTGCCCCCCCACCCACCGCCGCGGCTTTTTCACCCCCGCCGCCGTGGCTTTTTGCCCCCCGCCTCCGCGGCTTTCTGCCTGCCGCGGCTTTTTACCCCCCGCCGCCGCCGCGGCTTTTTGCTCGACCCGGCTTTTTGTCCCCCCACCGCCGCGGCTTTTTGCCCCATGGCCATCCTCAGAAGTGTGAGTGGAACAGAGTGAAGGGAAAGCTGTTTTCTTCGAAAGCTCAAAAATATTGAACTTTCAAATAGGGATAAGTGTTACTTTTGCTCCAAGCACACATTTGAGAAATCTTCCATTTAGCGGATATGATGATAAACCCACATTTTTTGTTTGTTTTAATCTGAAAATGTATTTGTATGGTTCTTGGAAATTTTTTTGCATATAAAATTATAGTTTATCATCTTATTTCAAGTTTTATTTACCATTTGATAGTTACTCCTAAAATGTCATTGATTAAAGAATCATCTATTGCTCCAACTGCTCTTTACTAAAGGTAATTTGTCTTTTTAACCTCATCAGGCTCCTTTTAAGCTCTCAAACTGACCTTATTTTTTTTTTACAGATTGAATGCATTAAGTCAATTTATTATTTATGATGAATTTATTTATGTATTTATTTTCGCTATCACAAGTAGAAAAAGCCTATAAGTTGCTATGCCAAAAACCTGCCTCTAGATGGCAAACAAACCCCACAATACACAAAAGAGAGCCAAATTCTTAGAAACCCTGGGAAAGGAAGAGGGCTACTGTCCCATTAACAACTTGGAGCCCTTAAGGCAAGAATGAGGTGGAACATCTGGAACATCTGGGAGGAGACACCAGGGTGCGGAGTAGTGGGGAACCTGCTCTGTGCTCTGAGACTGAAAGCCCAGCCTTGCCTCTCACCGCTGCCTTGACTGTGTCCCCATCTGCTGTGAAGTGAATGGTGTCTTCTAAATTCATGCTGAGCCCTAATTGCTGAAAAGTGTAAGACATGCAATGGGGGGATTATGTGCATCTTCCCGACACCAACATGATGCTCAGGAAGGAGACTTCTTGTTTTCTCTTAGGATTCTTTTACTAACCAAGATTTTGCCTCTACTACATATTTCCCTTTGCTGATTGTCCCTCCCTTTTGACAGAAGATGGCCCAGGGCATTCACTACTAAGTCTCAACCTCTTACCCAAAGCCCTCAGTCTAGTGTTGCTCTTTCCTTCATGCTATTTTTGTTTGTTTCTTTTCTTGTAATCATCTTGGCAATAAAATAATCACTTTTTTCTTTCTACCTATTAAAGATGTTACCTTAGTTAATTACAGTGGTTTCCTTCAGAATGATAAATGGTCTTTCAAAATGATGTAAAGAGATCTAAATCCGTGTGCTCCAGAAGTTGAATGAAGATCTGTCTAGCACGGGTGCCAGTGACTCTCCCAGAGTGCTCCATGCAGCTGGCCCCACAGAGTCCCTCTGTGCTGTCATATCACCCACTGCCTTCTGTGAATGAGCTATTCTGATTAGAATCCTGGTGGATGCTATTTGAGCCAGTGCCCCCACAACTCCTATGAAAGCTGAGGGCCACAGGCCCCTGAAGACAATCACAGGTCTCTAGACTCACAGCTCATGACCGTCCTCTGCAGACACAGCTTCTCCCCGGATGGCTGAGGGTTGTCATTGGCTGTGTCCTTCCTTGTGCATGACAACAGGAGACATAGAAGGTCTGTAAGCAGCCCTGCAAGCCAGGTTCTGAGCAAACCCTCCTGTGTGGGGCGCTCTTACCTGGACATAGGTGTGTAAACCAAAAATGAAACTCTAAGCTCCCTAACCAACTGAATGAACTCCTCCTCTCAACCAAGGACACAATCTGAAATACAATGCAGTCCATGATCGGAACGGATGATTGGATATGCCTTAACTTACCCTCTTCCCTTTAAAATTCAGGCACAACTGACCAGCTTTTAATATGAAGACAGAGACCTTGAGACTGACAAAGAAAACTCTTCATAGCAATAAGATACCAATGTGACAGATACCACGTCCTAAGAGAAATCAAAGTATTTTCCCCAAGCTATTGTTATTTAATGTATTTAAAAATGCCTCTGCAAAGCTGGTTCTTGTGGGAAAAATCTACATTCTGTAGAGATTCCTTTTTAAATCTCTTTCCTGACCCAGAGAGATTTAACTAAGAGTTTGGCACCTTTTAAGTCTACTAAGAAACAATTACAATCTATTCTCTCTGAAGCCTGCTACCTGGAGGCTTCATCTGCATGATGCAACCTTGGCTCCAAAACCCTTTTTCTAAACCCAGAAACTCCCTTGTGTTGATTACAGGTCATTAGATAAACTCTTTCAACCACCTATGAAATCTTTGAATCCACCTATGACCTGGAAGTCCCCAACATCCCCCCTCCTTCGGGCTGTCATGCCTTTCCATATCAAAGCAATGTACAGCTTACACGTATTGATTGATATCTTATGTCTCCCTAAAACGTGTAAAACCAACCTGTAGCCCGACGACCTTTGACACACATTCTCAAGACCTCCTGAGGCTGTTTCACTGATATTTCTTTAACTTTGACCAAATAAATTTCTAAAGTGATTGAGACTTTTCTCAGATACTTATTTGTTTATAGGTATCACTGGATACACTTAAGGAATTGAAGAGATTGATGACATTGAGAAAAGGAGGAAGCCAGGGTGTGTGGAGAGAGAGAGAGAGAGAGAGAGAGATTGTGATGTATGTACAGGACTAACACTGAGACCTGGTTATGTAATGGTGTAGTACTGAGTATCATCCCCAAATAGTGAGGTTTCATTCCAAGAAGACTATGCATGTATCTCATTTGGGAAAACAGCTTTTGCAGGTGTAAATTAAGGAGCCTGAAACAGGGAGATGGTCTTAGATTAATCAACTGGGACTTAAATGCAAACTCAAGTGTCCTAAAAAAAACAAGAGGTAGAGAGACATTTAGCATAGACTGAAGTGGAGAAGGCAGTGTGAACACAGAGACAGAGATTGCAGTGATGTGTCCACATCCCGGGAGAGAGAAGCCACCAGAAGCTGGAAGAGCTAAATCAGACTGCTCCCTAGAGCTTCAGAAGGAGCCAGAACTGATGACTCCAAGATCTTAGCCCAGTGAAACTGATCTGGACTTCTGAACTATGAGAGATTCCATTCCTGTTGTTTGAAGCTACCACATTTTTGAGAACTTGTCACAGTAGCCCGAGGACACTAACACAAACGGGGCTCCGGGAAAATCCAGACTAAAGGTGTTGTGTTGGTTTGCAATCTCCTTGCTTAACTTTCTGATACTAGACGTAAATAGATTGGTGAAAAATTTTGTGATTGAAGAAATGTACATGAAACCTACAGTGTACAGAGAAGCATCTGTTAGTTATAAGATAAATATTGATAATTTTAGTTGAAAATGACATATGACTGTTAGTATCTCACATAACATTCTGAGTTACTCAAGAATGCATAAAAGGGGCACTAGATACTCTTCTCATGTATGTGTGTGTGTCTGTCTATACATGTATGTACACTTCATGGTGCATCAGCTGGCGGAACCCTCAGGACAGCCCTTCACATCCTCAGTGCCCCATTTCACACATGAGGAAACTGTTCATGACAGCACATGGCTGATTTGCATAAAAGTCACGTGGTCAGCAGTTGTTGAAGCTGAACTTGGAATCTAGGTCTGTCTGACCTTAACTATGTTCCTTCCACAGAGCCACGTTCATTCCATAGAGGCACCCACCACCTATAAAACCAGGAAAGAGACAAAGCCAGAAGTGCAGGGTGGATTTCTTAACACAAGCTCACTGCGACCTCTAGTCCTCATCACGCTGACACTAAGCTTAAACCCAGACCCTTCTACAGTTTTGTCTACAAAGCACAATTTGCCCAAAGCCTTTACAAACACCAACAGCTTTTCTTTCAGATATGGCAGCAGGGTCACATCTTACACGGCCCTGACCACATTTTGTCTCCTCTGCCATCCCCATCTCTCTGACTCAGTCCTCGCTTGCAGCCATAAAAAAGGATGAGTTCATGTCCTTTGTAGGGACATGGATGAAGCTGGAAACCATCATTCTCAGCAAACTATCACAAGGACAAAGAAACCAATCACTGCATGTTCTCACTCACAGGTGGGAATTGAACAATGAGAACACATGGACACAGGAAGGGGAACATCACACACCAGGGCCTGTCGTGGGGTGGGGGGAGCGGTGAGGGATAGCATTAGGAGGTACACCTAATGTAAATGACGAGTTAATGGGTGCAGCACACCAACATGGCACATGTATACATATGTAACAAACCTGCACGTTGTGCACATGTACCCTAGAACTTAAAGAACAATAATAATAATAAAAAGAATGGGTCTTGTACATCTAATTTGCCCTACAAATGTTAAAACAGCAAACCCGCATCCCCTTCCTCTTCTCATGTGCTGTGAGGGATGACCTCCAGGCTCTCAGATACCAAGATTGTACAAGACCTAACCCAGAGAATTACTCAAGACACTTTCTACGTAAGAAGAATTGTGGTGCTAGCTCTCCTCATAGAAAAATGTTTTCTGTCTCTTGTTGAAATTGACAGCAAACACAACAACACAGAACTATTTGGGAGAACAGAGGACAGTGATACACTAGGGAAGTAAAACACACCCCTTCCCCTTGCATTGGTTTCCTGTTGCTGCTGTAACAAATTACCACAACCTTACTGCTCCACATAACACAAGTGTATTATCTTACATTTCTGGAGGTCAGAAGTCTCAATGAAGTAAAATCAAGGAGTAATAGGGCTCTATTCATTCTAGGCTTCGAGAGAGAATCCAATATCGAGCATTCCATCTTTCTGATGTTCCCACATTCCTAACAGCATGGCCCCTTCCTCCATCACTCCAGTTTCCCTGTCCGTTGTCCCAGGTCCCCTCTGGCTGTTACCTTCCTCCTTCCCTATTATAAGGACCCTTGTGATTATGATGGTCTCACCCAGATAATTCAGGATACTCTCCTGACCCCAAAATTCTCAACCATGTCTGCCAAGTTATTTTTGACATATTCATAAGTAATGATCATAGATTCCAAATATTACGACAATGATGTCTTTAGTGGGTGTATTATTCATTCCACAAACAACCCTCGTCATCCACACAATGGTCTTCCCCTAAGATAGAATAAAAATATCACAAGGCAGATTTACGAGGCGATCGACCTAGAAAAAACCTGAGACTCTAGGACTGTCTGATGTGTGGATGTCAAATCCTGGGAGATTCTGAGTCTCTGCTCTATGTGGACTCTATGTTGTGTAGCCATTTGTGGAAGGCTTCTGTGATTTTGTGACCTAGAGAAAATGAATCTCTGCTAAAATCAAATCTAAGAAAGATTGGCAAAGGGAATTTAAAGATTTCCTAAATTTTTGGAATTTCCCTATGCATTAAAACATGAGAAGTGGCAATAATTCAAACCAACGATGCCCTCCAAGAATGAGGATTTTTCCAATGCATTAGGTTGGGTCCCCTCAGTGAGAAGGATGCCAAAGATTCGCATGCGGGCAGTATATTTACAAAGTGCGGGAAACAAGCAAGTGAGCAAGGGAGGGGAGGAGGGAAAGGGAAAGTGAAAGGTGCCTCAGAAGGAGCCACCTCTGAGGATGACGAGAGCTCAAGCCCACATAGAAACACAGGAAAAATGCCTCTGTTATTCCACATGAGAGGTGAGGGAGCTGCGGGATGTGTACACCTCCCTTGTCATCACTGATTGGCAGCCGTCCTAGGGGATGCTAATTCCAGGCCGTGAGGTCTGCCTCATTTGCAGCCTGAGCTGCTTCCCCAGGTTCAGACAGAGCAGTGAAGGGGAGAAAGGGCCATAGAGAGTCAGCTGAAGTATAATGACTAGAATCCCCAAGGCGCAGTAACAATGACTGCTAAAATTATGCACAAAGAAAAAGCGCATTTGAATCCAGAGATGTATCTCTCTGAATCTGGATATATGGATCCTGGCAGCCTGTTCAGTAGCCATTTCCCAGAAATCCAGTCCTCTGGAAAAGCAGCAGCAGGTTTGTGCACAGGCTGCACTACCTTGGTCTGGCCACTGGTAGTCATGCATGAGAACTACTCCCTGGCGTATTTCTCAGTCCACTGACACTGATGTAATTGGCTCCACTTCCCCTGCTGTTGAGCCAGGCCGACACGCCCTGGGCAAAGGCATCTGTGTGAAGTATTGAGGTGCAAATCAGTGCTTAAGATATGTTTGGAGGCAAAATACTTTTTCATCTACATGGGCAGTGTCTTGGCAGAAGATGGAGATTCTCTCTAAATGGATGTGAGACAGGGTGGCTGGCATCTGGGTCAGGATGATGCCCTGGTGCATGGCAAGAACATGCATTGGGCAGCAGCTGCCCTCGCTAAGGAGAGAGGTTCACTGACCTGGCTTTTCCCCCCTCACCTGCTCTCCAGAAAGCCAGACTCTAGGGCAGATGCTCCTGAGACCCCAGGAACAGGCTGGTGGGGAGCGCAGCTCAGAGCATTACTCAGGGGATGTGGCCTTTGTCATCCTACTTTGAAACAATTGACTATTTGAGCCTAGATTGATAGAGGGCTTCAAGTTGATTTTAATCCAGGCTCCTATAGTCCGCGAGTGAAACAGAGATTTTGAAATAATGAGACCTGGTATTACTAGTCAGCTCTCCATGCTGGAGAACCATAAGAAATTATACCAAAGGCAGGAAAGGGAATAGAATATGGGGATCATCACGCCAAGAATAAGGTGCAGCCCATTTAGCCCCTGGGTCTTAAAGAGACCCATAGCTCTGGATAATGGCAGATATATGCGTGACACAGTCATCATCTTTGTGCATCTTCAGAGAATTGTTTTTCCTTTTACTCCTAGGAACAATGTCTTAAGTTTGTTAGTAAATTCTATTGAATTTATTAAAGATGCTTCTGATAAATTCTTTTTATATTCATTTCAAAAAAGAAGCAATTTCACACTGACAGAGACATTGTTATTATAGCACTAAATACTTTTACACTCATCGAATTCCTTTGAGACTAACTGAAATTTCTGACAGCCCCACACTCTATAACTTTATTGTAAATTTTCTGCCAAAAATGATGCTTTCCTATACACTCCTAATACAAGTATAAATATATTATTTAATCTAGTCTTAGGTTGATTTAAAATTTTGAAAATTCACTCCAAACATATGCTCTGTAACCGTATGGCCACCAATGAGAAGTGTACTCTTTCAAGGTAAATCTGTGCTGCCCTGGTCTGACCTGGGACTCTGGGGATACTGCGCCCGTGTGCTGAGTTACTGAGATGAGCCAGCCCTGCAGCTGTGCTCAGCCTGCCCCATCCCCTGCTGATTTGCCTGTTCCTAGAGCACAGCCCCCTGCCCTGAAGACTTCTTATAGGCTGGTCACACCCGGTGCAGGAGTCAGCCCCAGTCAGGACACAGCAAGGACGTGAGGGCCCCCACTCAGCTCCTGGGGCTCCTGGGGCTCCTGGGGCTCTGGCTGCCAGGTAAGGAAGGAGAACACTAGGATTATACTCGGTCAGTGTGCTCAGTACTGTCAGGAACTTCAGGGAAGTCCTCTGATAACATGATTAATTGCAAGAATATTTGTTTTTATGTTTCTAACTTCAGGTGCCAGATGTGACATCCAGATGACCCAGTCTCCATCCTCCCTGTCTGCATCTGTAGGAGGCAGAGTCACCATCACTTGCCGGGCGAGTCAGGGCATTAGCAATAATTTAAATTGGTATCAGCAGAAACCAGGGAAAACTCCTAAGCTCCTGATCTATGCTGCATCCAGTCTGCAAAGTGGGATTCCCTCTCGGTTCAGTGACAGTGGATCTGGGACAGATTACACTCTCACCATCAGCAGCCTGCAGCCTGAAGATTTTGCAGCTTATTACTGTCAACAGAGTGACAGTACCCCTCCCACAGTGTTACAAGTCATAACATAAACCCCAAGGAAGCAGATGTGTGAGGCTGGGCTGCCCCAGTGCTCCTTCTGGTGCCTCTATCTGCTGAGGGAAGTTCTCAAACTCAGTCAGGTTTGGAAAGTCATCGGGAGATTTTCCTAGAGGAGGCCAGGGAGGTTCCTCTGAACCCTAAGCCTCTTTCGCCCTCATCCCCAGCAGAAAAGACGTGACAATGCCTGTCCTGACTGAATAAAGAAGAGAGATAAGTCCAGCTGAGGAGTCTGTGTTATGGGATAATCGGAATTTGTACAGCAAAAGAGAAGCTATTCTCAGTATTTCAAGGAGAAATTATTCAAGTTGAATAAATTAGAGTCTAAGCCACAGTCTTTCCGAAGCCTATGGAGTGTTATTCATGAAGCAGGTACTAGACACAGGGGATTCTCAGGTGCTACTTCAGAAGCCAGGATGCACCTGCCCCTGGCGGTATGTGCTGAACACCGTGTGATGATCCTCAGTCCTGTCTGGGAAGCCCAGGGCTGGGGGTGCTGATGCTCTCAGCTGCCTGCAGCACATCTCCAGGTGATTCTCCAGTCCACACCTAACTGCATGTGTTTTACTTCAGGTGTCAGTGTACATGAATCCACCACTCTGACTTCCCAATCTCATGACAGTAATTAGTTGTAACTTATTGTAACCTCATGGAGCAACCCTAAAGAAACCATAGAGAGAAAAGGAGTTTTGGACAATGTGCTCCCAGAAGCGATAGTAATGATGGGGAATTGACAGCTGACGGGGAAGTAAGGTGACTCTTTCCACAAGGCTCAACATTTTGCCAGTTACGAATTGTTGCAAAATACATTTGAATGTGCTTTCAAGTATTACCAGTTTGGGGTCATAGCTGGAAAACTTTATTAAGTCACAGATAAAATGGGAAAATCAGGAAATTGTATGAAATATACAATAACACTGTGTGTGATGGCTCAGGTCTGTAATCCTGTGATAGTTAATACTGATTGTCAACTTGGTTACATTGAAGGATGTAAGCATTGCTCCTGGGTGTGTCTGTGAGGGTGTTGCCAAAGGAGATTAATATTTGAGTCAGTAGTCTGGGGAAGGCAGACCCCCTACTTAATCTATGGGCACCATTTAATCAGCTGCCAGTGAATATAAAGCAGGCAGAAAAAAGTGAAAAAGTGAGTCTGGCCCAGCCTCCCAGCCTACATCTCTCTCCCGTGCTGGATGCTTCCTACCCTTGAACATCGGACTCCACGTTCTTTAGTTTTGAGACTCGAGCTGGCTCTCCTTACTCCTCACTCCTCATGCCTGCAGACAGCCTACTGTGGGACTTGTGATCCTGTAAGTTAATATGTAATAAACCTATATATATGTATATATATATATATATTGAACTTATTAGTTCTGTCCCTCTAGAGAACCCTCACTAATACAGATTTTGGTACCAGGAATGGTTCTGCAGGAACAGAATATTAAGGTTGGAGTTCTTTTGTTGGTTTTGGGGTTTCTGGATTTGGCTGCTAAATATGATTAGATCCCAAAATGCTAAGGACTCTACTTTTAATAGTGTAGAGAATATTGACAGTTCTTGGCATGAAAGGTTTAAAGAGCTATGCAAAACAAATTCATTTGACACTAATGAATCATCGCTCGTGAGAGGCAAGGAGTTTAGTGACTCTGTACCTAATACCCTTGACAAACACCTTGCAAAATAGATTTGTGAGGACAGCACCTGCATCTTTGAAGAGCCCTGTAAAGGCTCTTCTCTGTATGTCAGATCTAATGGTGAGAACTGCAGTCACTCAGTTACAAAAGTTAAATACAATTTGGAATAATTGGATCCTGAAGTGGCAGGGGCCAAGTGGTAGCACTCAACCCTCAAAGGCACGGTGGGTGTAGCTACCGTAATGGGCAGAAAAGACAAAGCAGCAATCTGAACAGTCTGACTCATGTAGAGCTCTGGCATTGGCTAACTAATCACAGTGTTCCTAGAAGTGAAACTGACAGGAAGACTAATGCATTCCTACTTAATTTATGTAAGGAGGAAACTTAAGGTCAAACAGATAAAAGACTGATTGGAATCATAAAAACAGAGATTCATGGCCCCTCAATCAATTTCCAGCCTTGAGCCAGTTTACAGACCCAGAACCCCTTGAATGAAGGGGAGGCTGGGTCCCCCTGAGGTGTCCATGGCAGATAGGAATGCTGCTTTGAGGCTTTGGCAGGCCTCCATAGGTGAATCATGGTGGAGGCCTCTAGTATTTTGCAGCAAGGCCCGGTCATCTTCTCCAGTTAACTACTCTCCTTTTGAGAGACAGCTCTTGTCCTATACTGGGCTTTTGTGGAAACTGAACATTTGACTATGAGTCAACAAGTCACCATGCGACCTGAACTGCCTATCCCGAACTGGGTGCTTTCTGACTCATGTAGCCATAAAGTGGGTCATGCACAGCAGCATTCCATCATCAAATGGAAATGGTGTATAAGTGATTGGGCTTAGCAGGTCCTGGGGGGCACAAGTAAGTTACATGAGGAAGTGGCTCAAATGCCCATGGTCTCTACTCCTGCCACCCTGCCTTCTCTCCCACGGCCTGCACTGATGACCTCATGGGGACTTGCCTTTGAGCAGTTGACACAGGAAGGGAGGACTAGGGCCCGGTTCACAGATGGTTCTCCACAATAGGCAGGTACCGCCCAAAAGTGGACAGCTGAAGCACTACAGCCCCTTTCTAGGACATCCCTGAAGGACAGTGGTGAAGGACAATCTTCCCCGTGGGCAGAACATTGAGCAGTGCACCTGATTGTGCACTTTGCATGGAAGGAGAAATTTCCAGATGTGCGGTTATATACTGATTCATGGGCTGTAGCCAATGGTTTGGCTGGATGGTCAGGGACTTGGAAGAAGCATGATTGGAAAATTGGTGACAAAGAAACTTGGAGAAAGAGTATGTAGATGGACCTCTCTGAGTGGTCAAAAACTGAAGATATTTGTACCCTGTGTGAGTGTTGACCAACAAGTGACTTCAGCAGAGGAGGATTTTGATAATCAAGTGGATAAGATGACCCGTTCTGTGGATACCACTCAGCCTCTTTCCTCAGACACCCCTGTCATTGTCCAATGAGCCCATGAACATAGTGGCCATGGTGGCAGGGATGGAGGCTATGCATGGATTCAGCAAGGTGGACTTCCACTCACCAAGGCTGAACTGTCTGTGGCCACTGCTGAGTGCCCAATTTGCCAGCAGCAGCAGCAGAGACTAACAGTGAACCCTTTGTATGGCATCATTTCCTGGGGTGATCGACCAGCTACCCGGTAGCAAGTTGATTATATTGGAACTCTTCCACCATGGAAAGGAGAGAGGTTTGTCCTCATTGGAACAGGCACTTACTCAGGATATGGGCTTGCCCACCTGCATGCAATGCTTCTGCCAAGACTACCATTTATGGACTCAAGGAATGCCTTATCCACTATCACGGTATTCCACACAGCATTACCTCTGACCAAGCACTCACTTTACAGGTAAAGAAGTGAGGCAGTGGGCTCATGCTCACGGAATTCACTGGTCTTACCATATTCCCCATCTTCCTGAAGCAGCTGGATTGATAGAATGGTGGGACGGCCTTTTGAGGTCGCGATTACAACGTCAACTAGGTTACAATACTTTGCCGGGCCGGGGCACCATACTCCAGAAGGCCATGTGTGCTCTGAATCAGCGCCCAATGTATGGTATTGTTTCTCCCATAGCCAGGATTCACAGATCCAGGATTCAAGGGGTGGATGTGAAAGTGGAACCACTCACTATGATGCACTGGCAAAATGTTTGCTTTCTGTTCCCATGACATTAGGTTCTGCTTTACTAGTCATCTTAGCTCCAGAGGGAAGAACGCTGCTACCAGGAGACACAATAACGATTCCATTAAACTGGAAGTTAAGATGGCCACTTGGACGCTTTGGGGTCCTCCTACCTTTAAGTCAACAAGCTAAGAATGGAGTTACAGTGTTGGCGGCAGTGATTGACCCAGACTATCAAGATGAAGTCAGTCCGCTACTCCACAACGGAAGTGAGGAAGAGTATGCGTGGAATATAGGAGATCCATTAGGGCGTCTCTTGGTATTATCATGCACTCTGATTAAGGTAAATGGGAAACTATACCCAATCCAGGTAGGACTACAAATGGTCCAGATCCTCTCCGGGTCACGACCTGCTGAGGTGCTTGCTGAAGGCAAAGGGAATACAGAATAAATAGTGGAAGAAAGTAGTTATCAATACCAGCTACGACCACCTGACCAGCTGCAGAAATGAGGACTGGAACTATCATGAGTATTTCCTTCTTCTTTTGTTAAAAACATGTTTGTGCATGTATGCACTTGTACTAAGAAAATATCTTCATTTCATTTCCCTTTTCTTTATCAGGTGACATAGATTTGCTGACCTCATATCAGCATTTAAGTATTGTTTACTTTATGTAAGAGTATTTGGGTTGGGGATGGGTGCATTTCCAGTTGTAGGAAGGATAGTTTATTATGTTAGGGGTAATTATGACCTTACTATTGTCTGTATTTTAAGATTATGTATGATCTCAGGAGATGTGTGTGGGTTCAAGTTCACAAGGGGTGGGCTTGTGATGGTTAATAATGAGTGTCAACTTGATTGGATTGAAGGATGTAAAGTATTCATCCTGGGTGTGTCTGTGAGGGTGTTGCCAAAAAAAGATTAACATGTGAGTCAGTGGGCTGGGAAAGGCAGACCCACCCTTAATCTGTGTGGGCACAATCCAATCAGCTGCCAACCCAGCCATACTATAAGCAGGCAGAAAAATGTGAAAAGAGACGGGCCTCGCCTCCCAGCCTACATCTTTCTCCCATGCTGGATGCTTCTTGCCCTCGAACATGGACTCCAAGTTCTTCAGTTTTGGAACTCTGGCTGGCTCTTTTTGCTCCTCATCCAGCAGATGGCCTATTGTGAGACTTGGTGATTGTGTGAGTTAATACTTAATAAACTTCCTGTATAAGCCAGTGACATCTAGAGGGACAGAACTAACAGGATATATACATATATATATACATACACACACACATATATATATGCACACACACACACACACATATATATATTTATTTACAAAGGGGAGTTTATTAACTTACAGGATCATAAGTTACACAATGGGCTGTCTGCAAACTGATGAGAAAGGAGAGCCATGGAGTCCAATGTTTGAGGGCAGGAAGAAACCAGCATGGGAGAAAAAAGATGTAGGCTGGGAGGCTAGGCCAGTCTCTCCTTTTCAAATTTTTCTGCCTGCTTTATATTTGCTGGCAGCAGATTAGATTGTGCCCACCAGATTAAGGGTGGGTCTGCCTTCCCCAGCCCACTGACTCAAATGTTAATCTCTTTCGGCAACACTCTCACAGACACACCCTGGATCAATACTTCATATCCCTCAATCCTATCAAGTTGACAGTCATTATTAACCATCTCACTCCCCTTCATATATATATGTATATAGTCCTTTAATTCTGTCACTCTAGAGAACCCTGACTAATACGTCTACACTTCTGATGATCTATTTCTTTTATTTTAGGTCATTTATTTCCCCTGGGTTGCCTACACTCGCTTCTTCCCACTCCCCTATGAAGGACAATATAAGCCTCTGGACCTCACTAGGTCAGGGCATGTCCCTGCTTGCACTATCCATGACACTTTCCTCTTTTACTCTTTAGCAATGAGGGAATGTCATCCTTACCCAGATGCCAGCCACCTGTCTCACATCCAGGACAGCGAGTCTCCATCTCCTCTCCAGCAAATACCCATGTATGTGGGCATGGTGGCATGCCCCTGTGATCCCAGCTACTCCATAGGCTTAGGGGGCAGAATCACTTGTGCTTGAGAATTCAAGGTTGCAAGGAGCCATGATCACACCACTGCACTTCATGCTGGGTAACTGAGACCCTGTGATTTTTCGCCTACATTTTACAGAATTTTTTTTTTTTGCCTCTTTCTTCTATTAATTTATGTTTTGTCCATTCATTTTCTGCAAACCTTTAGAGGGCAAATAGGAAGTTTCCCTTTTTAACGTGGTGGCTCACGCCTGTAATCCCAGCACTTTGGGAGGCCGAGGTGAGCAGACCACCTGAGGTTGGGAGTTCGAGACTAGCCTGACCAACATAGAGAAACCCCGCCTCCACTAAAAAAAATACAAAATTGGCAGGCTGTGGTGGTGTGCACCTGTGATCCCAGCTACTCAGGAGGCTGAGGCAAGAGAATTGCTTGGACCTGGGAGGCGGAGGTTGCAGTGAGCCCAGATTGTGCCACCACACTCCAGCCTGGGTGACAAGAGCGAAACTCCGTCTCAAAAAAAAAAAAAAAAAGAAACAAAAACAAACAAAGAAAAAAACACCTACTGCCTCACTGAATTAAAGGCGTGTTCAGCAGTTTCTTTGTTATTTCAAAGAGTGGCATCTGCTTCAGCAGGGTCAGTTTTTAATGTATTTGTTTTGTTTCTTTTTTCTCTGTCTGGTGTTCTTTTCTATTTTATTATAATTTTTTAAATTTGAGGGATGAGGTTTTCATAGTACTGAATATCAAACAATGAATCCGCATGAATGATTCACCTAATTTCCCTGGTTTTAGTCCTCTATACAGGTTTTATATAGCAAAAGAACCATTTAAAGACTTGGGTTACAAATGTATTTTATTTTACCTCTGGCATGCCTTGGGCTGAGAAAGCATTATATGGTGGCACAATATTTGTAACATTCTCATAGCCATCTGGTGGTGGTTCGAGGTATGACATTTTGAAAATCTAGCAAGAATTAAAATATGTCAAGTTAGAGAGAAAAATTCCAGATTATTATTAAGATATAATTCATTTTGCCCCAAGTATATACTTCAGATTAAGCATCCTGGAACTAGGTTCTATAATTAAATAGATAAATTACACTGACAACAATGAGAAAGAGCCTTATCATTATTATTGTCTTCCTAATAATAGAAACTTTTATAAATGCATGCAATCTCAGGTAACCAAAAGTTTCCTTATAAAGTGTAACAGCAGAGCTTCAAAGGTGGCACTTTGGCAAGCCTCTTTTTTTGACTATGCCTTTTCAGCTTCCTTTGTGGGCTCCTTTTCTTTCATCTTTATTTAAATAATATTTCCCTATGTTTTATCCCCAGCCCATTGCTTGCCTCTGTACTGCCTCCCTGCGAGACTTCATTAAGTATCAGAATTTTACCAATAGCTCATATGCTTATGATGCTTACCTTTTCAGATTCGTATATTTAAATGTTTTGTGGTTATTTCATCCTGGATGTCCAAACTCAACATGTTAAAATTCAAATTTATCATCTCTCACCCCGGGCCTGCTTTTGGTCTGCATTTCCTACCTCTATTAATAGCTTCAGTCATTAGCCACCGACACCAGACAGTCTCGGAGTCATCCTGAACTCTATCTTCCCCTCCTTCCCCAAGTCAATCACTAATCAAGTCCTGCTAATACATTTCCTTACTATTTCTGAAATCCATCCCTCTTCCTCATTCCTACTAACATCCTAATTTAAAACTTTATTATCTTTTACCTGGACCATCGTCTTAAGACAACAACTTTAACCCGTTGCTTAGCCTAGGTGTAATCCACAGAGGATCTTGTCTGTCTAAAATGCCCCTCTAGCCACAACCTTCCCCTGCTCAGATCTTGTCATTGGCTCCCATGAACTGAAGTTGAAGTTTAAGCTCCTTAGGACAGCATACACGCCCTTCTATGACCTGTTCCCAGAACATATTCACTGGTTTATCTCATGCCATGGCCCACTTTGTATTTTACACTTTTGAAATACAGAAAATCATTACATTCTCCCAATAATACTAAGCTAGTATATGCCTAAAAGCCTTTGCCAATATTTTGTCTTTTGTTGAGAATTCCCTTAGCTTATTTTGTCACGTGGTTAACTCCTTATGTCCTTTCATGACTCACATGTCAAGACTTCAGGAAACCTTCTCTAACTCCCAGGCTGGGCTGAGTGACCCTTTTCTGGGTAAATAATGAACTCTAATCATACTCTTCATAGCACTTACCATACTAATTTGAAGTCTGAAGTACTCCATTGTCTGCCTCACTTTACTTAGGCAAAGGAACCATGTCCTAGTCTCATTCTGGCCTCAGGACTTCAGCCTGGGCGACAGTGGGAGACTGTGTGTCAAAAAAAAAAAAATTGCCAATGATTGAAGCCTAATACTGAAGATTCTGGTTTATTAATAATTAGTCTGTTGCTGGGTGTTAATTGAGCTCCCCAAGTGATTACTCATGTAGGACTTCAAAACAATAATTTAGAACCTTGTGACTCAAAATCTGGGCAAAAATAAGCGGCATCAGTATCACCTGGGAGCAGCTTCAGGTCTCACTTTAGATTTACTCTGAATCTAAATATTATATTTTTATTAAAAAAATTAAGAACAGATGACAAACTTCAACTACATCTAAATTCTTTAGATGTACTTTAAAAGAATCAACATTTTGACACAATACCAAAGTGAACTAAATTCGCTTTTTTTTTTTTTTTTTTTTTTTTGAGACAGAGTCTTGCTCTGTTGCCCAGGCTGGAGCGCAGTGGTGCAATCTCGGCTCACTGCAACTTCCACCTCTCCAGTTCAAGCGATTATCTTGCCTCGGCCTCCAAAGTAGCTGGGATTACAGGCACATGCCATCATGCCCGGCTAATTTTTGTATTTTTAGTAGAGACAGGGTTTCACAATGTTGGGTCAGCTGGTCTCGAACTCCTGACCTCAAGTGATCTGCCCGCCTCGGCCTTCCAAAGTGCTGAGATTATAGACATGGGCCACCATGCCCAGCCTAAATTTGCTTTAATTTGGAGAAGTACTGGTCTAGAAAACACAAATTCCAAGGAGACTCAGGTTCTTAAGTTGATTTCTTGAGTAAAAGTTCTTCAAATGCATTCTCCAAGATTAATTTTTTTTTTTTTTTACTTTTTAAATTGACAAAGATTATACATATTCATGGCTATACGGGGATGTTTCAGTACATGTAGATGGTGATCAGATCAGGGTAATTAGCATATCTATCATCTCAAACATTTATTATTTCTTTGTGTTGGGAACATTCAAACTACTCCTAGGTATTTTAAACTACATAATATAGTATTGTTAACTATAGTCATCTACGGTACTATAGAACACTAGAACTTATTACTCCTACCTAGCTGTAATTTTGTATCCATTAACAAATCTCTTACTATTCCTCCTTTCTCCCTACCCTTTTCAGCCTGCAGTATCCTCTGTTCTACTTTTTACTTCTATAAGATCAACTTTTTTTTTTAGCTTCTGCGTGAGTGAGAACATGTGGTGTTGAAATTTCTATTCCTGGCTTATTTTGCTTAACATAATATCCTCCAGTTCCATCCATGTTGCTGAGAATGACAGGATTTTATTTATTCTTTTTTATCGCTAAATAGCATTCCTTGGTGTATATATACCATATTTTAAAAGTCCATTCATCTGTTGTTGGAAACTAGGTTGATTCCATATCTTGGCTATTGTGAACACTGTTGCAATAAACATGGGGATGCAGATGTCTCTGCAATATAATGCTTTTCTTTCCTTTGGATAAGTTCCCAGTAGTGGGATTGCTTGAGGTGTTTCAATACTGTTCTCCATACTGGCTGCACTAATTTACATTCCTACCAACAGTGCATAAGAGTTCCTTTTTCTCCAGCTACTCAGGAGGCTGAGGGAGGAGAACTATTTGAACCCTAGAAGCAGAGGGAGCCAGATTACACCACCACTGCACTCCAGCCTGGATGGAGAGTGAGACTCTGTCAAAAAAAAGTCCCTTTTCTTCACGTCTTTGTCAGCATTTGTTATTTTTGTCTCTTCCATAATAGCCATCCTAACTGGAGTAAGATGATGCCTCACTGTGGCTTTGATTAGCATTTCCTTGCTGATTAGTGGTGTTGAACATTTTTTCATATACTTGTTGGTCATTTGTATGTCTTCTTTTGAGAAATGTCTGTTCAGAGCATT
Organism: Homo sapiens; assembly: GCF_000001405.40. Classification (NCBI taxonomy): domain Eukaryota; kingdom Metazoa; phylum Chordata; class Mammalia; order Primates; family Hominidae; genus Homo; species Homo sapiens. Next base: position 94,255,021 of record NC_000002.12, on the reverse strand, counting down.
TGTTTATATTTAATTAGATTGTTGTGCTTCTTTGCTGTTGATATGTTTGAATTCCTTGTATATACTTGATATTAATTTCCTGCCAGATGAGTTTATATTTTCTCCCATTCTGTAGGTTGTCTTTTCACTCACTTTATTATTTCCTTTGCCGTGCAGAAGATTTTTAGCTTGATGTGATCCCATTTGTTTATTTTTTCTTTTGTTGCCTGTGCTTTTGATGCCTTATTCATAAAATATTTTCCCAGAGCAATGTCCTGAAGGATCTCCCCTATGTTTTCTTCTAGTAGCTTTACCATTTTGGGCCTAATATTTGGGTATTTGAGATACTTTGGGTTGATCTTTGTATAGGGTGAGAGGCAGAGGTCTAGTTTCATTCTTCTGCATATGGATATCCAATTTTTCCAGCACCATTTATTGAAGAGACTATCCTTTCCCCAATGAGTGTTCTTGGCACCTTTGCAAAAAATCCGTTGGCTGAGATATGTGGATTTTCTGGGTTCTTTATTCTATTCCATAGGTCTATGTGTCTGTTTTTATGCCAATACCATGATGTTTTGGTTACTACAGTTTGGTAGTATATTCTGAGGTCTGGTAGCACGATACATCCAGCTTTGTTCTTTTTGCTTAGGATGGCTTTGGCTATTCAGGATATTTTTTGATTCCATAAAATCTCTTTGGATTTTTTTTTAATTTTGTGAAGAATGTTCATAGGTATTTTGATAGAGATTGCATTGAATCTGTAGGTTGCTTTTGAGTAGTACTGTCACTTTAACAACATTCATATTTCTGATCCATGAGTGTGAATGTCTTTTCATTTGTTTGTATCCTCTTCAATTTCTTCCATTAGTGTTTTGTAGTTTTCATTTTACCTCCTTGGTTACATTTATGTCTGGGTTTTTTTTTTTGGTAACTATTGTAAATGGGTTTGCCTTCTTAATTTCTTTTTCAGCGAGTTTGTTGTTCATATATATAAACGCAACCAATCTTTGTGTATTAGTTTTGTGTTTTGCAACTTCACTGAATTTGTTTGTTCTAAAAGTTTTCTGGTAGAGTCTTCAGGTTTTCCTATATATAAGATCATGTCATCTGCAAACAGGAACAATTTGATGTCCTCCTTTCCGATTTGAATGCCCTTTATTTCTTTCTCTTGTCTAATTACTCTTGATAGGACTTCACATTTATATACTTTGAATATTTAAAATGTTTACATAAATGTCAGAATCAACTTTCATTTTTCATAGAAAAAGAAGACTGTCTATTAAAATATTTCACCACAAATAAATTCCATAAGGAAAATATCTACAACTGTTTTTATGAAAGAAAAAAAAGGCTTCTCTACAGTTGCTTAGGCCCGGTGCCATGGCACACACCTATAAATCCCAGCGCTGTGGGAGGCCATGGCAAGAGGATCCTTTGAGCCCAGGAGTTTGAGACCAGCGTGGACAACAAAGTGAGACCTCATCTCTACAAAAAATAAAAAAGAAATTAGCTGGCCATGGTGGTGCGTGCCTGTGGTCCTAGCTACGCGAGAGGCTGAGGAAGGAGGATCACTTGAGCCAGGGAGGTGGAGGTTTCACTGAACCATATTCACGCCACTCCACTGCAGCCTGGGCAACAGAGCTAGACCTTGTCTCAAAAAATTAAGTTAGTTAAATTAAACATAAAGTTGCATTGTATCTAAGAAATTGGGAAAGCAGGAAATGCTTCTGTTTTTCTTTTGAGTTGAACAATGAGAACACATGGACACAGGGAGGGGAACATCACATACCGGGGCCTGTCAGGGGGGTGGGAGGCTGGGGGAGTGATAGCATTAGGAGAAATACCTAATGTAGATGATGGGTTGATGGGTGCAGTAAACCACCATGGCATGTGTATACCTATGTAACAAACCTCCACGTTCTGTACATGTATCTCAGAACTTAAAATGTAATAATAACAATAATAAAAACGACAAAAAAAGGAAATGCTTCTTGTTAGAACAGATTACATAACCTCATTGCTTTTTATAATAGCCTATAATAACAGAATATCCACAAGGTGGCAGTAATATATCAGTTTCATCCTCTGAAATTAAAACTTTTGCCTATTCAGTAATACAATGGATCTTTTGAACTCACTCTAACACGTAGAATACAGCAATTTGACTTAATAATTAGCCTTTAAATTTATAGTCTTGTATTATCACTTTAGTGGTTTGAATTATTTTGTATTTTAATATATTTAAATGAATTAGTCCTATACAAATTGACTAATTTGACATGTGGAGGTGTTTTTATTCAATTTTCAGAAGTTTAGCTTTAAAAAAATTTCTAAACTTCGATATCTGGTGAGTGCCAGTGTTTTTATCTTATTAAAAGGTGACAGACCACACTATATTCAACTGATTTTTTTTTTAACAAGAATGCAAAATCAGCTTAAAGGAAGGATATCTTTTTCAACAAATGGTGCTAGAGCAATTGGACATTCACAGGTACAAAAACTAAGACTGACCTAAATTTATACTTTATATAAAATTTAGCTCACATAAATCACAGGCTTAAATGTAAAATGTAATATTATAAAACTTAAAGTTGTGTATGGTAGCTCGTGCCTGTAATCCCAGCTACTACTCAAGTGGCTGAGGTGGAAGGATCACTTCAATCCAGCAGTTAGTGGCTGCAGTGAGCAATGATGGCACCACTGCACTACAGCTTGGGTGAAACCTCGTCTCAAAAATAATTAATAAATAAATAAATTCATTAAACTTTTTAAAATAGAAGAAAACTCTTGAGACCTTGGGCTAGGCAAATAATTTTTAGGCTTGATATCAAAAACAAAATCTACAAAAGGAAAAAGTGATAAAACTGGACTTCATTCAAATAAATAAACACTTTTTTTTTTTTTTTTTTTTTTTTTTTTTTTTTTAGTTAGAAAGACCCTGTAAAGAGGTTGAAAAAATGAATTACAGAGTGGGAGAAATAATTTGCATACCATATATCTGACAAAGAACTTACATCTAGCATATGTAAAAAATTCTCAAAACTCAATAGTAATAAATAAGGTATCCAATTAGAAAATAGGCATATGTGACCTCTCTGTATTATAACTTAAACCTCATGTGACTACAATTATTTCAAATGAAATAAACAAAACAGTAATGCCTGTTTCTAGCATATAAAATAATCAGAGAACATAGAATTATACAAAGTTAAATTATTGGGCCATTTACTTAATTTAAATATCTTTAAATGCGTGTACCCATTTTGCTTGAAGGTGTGTGCAAGTATGCTTGTATTTTTTTAACGATAATATGGTCACATGAGCATTAAATTTATTTTTTTAAAGTTTATAGTTACCCCACACAAGTTCTTATTGATTCCCTCGTTCTTAACACCTGCATAGTATTTCATTTTATAATTAATGGATTGTAGGTTTATTCTTTTAAAATCACTTGTGTTGTTCTCATGTTTTTTTTTTTTCACTAGAAAGTGTTGCAATGCACAAAACTAAAAATATAAGGAGGGTCTTTTCTGGATCTCTGTTGAAAAACTTTGAATAAAAATTACAAGTTCAAATCACATGCAAAATAAACATTTTAATTAATAGGGCTTTTATGCAAGATGTTAGTAGCAGTAGCAGCACAGTTTTATTAATATCCCTGAATCTCTCACAAAAACGGACTGAGCAACTAGGATAACAAGGTATTAACTACGACAAAACAATGTAACAGGGTGTCATCATGGACCTTTTGTGAGGTTAAACCACAGGGACCCAGGGGAATCACCAATTTTTTTGGAAGAAGGAAAGGAAAGGAAAAAAATGTTTAATGGCCCTGGGAACTGGAAAACCTAGATATACAAGCGCTAACATCTATGTTCCTAAATTCAGAGATTCTTAGTAGGCAAAAAGAACTCAGCAGATTAATCTGAGAACAGCAGCTGAGGCTGGCAGAAGGCTTCCTGGGCCTCAACTCATTGCTGAGAGTGAGGATGGCATAAAGCAGGTGCTGTGAGTGGTCTGTTTCCTATGAACCCTACAAATTGACCACCCCCAAAACAAAGCCCTGTCCTAAGGAGAAACTGCAGGAAGTCAATTATAAGTTGAGTTGGGAAGCACACTGAGGCTCAAGAAAAGGGAAGCTCCAGGTTAAGATGCAAGAGAAGAAGGGAAAAGGCAGTTTTCTGCAAGTTCAAGCACAAATAATTTCTTTACCTTCTAGTTCTGGAAATACCAGGTGCTGTGTATGTAAAGCAGGAATTTTGGTTGAATATTATATAATTTTCTGACCCACTGTTACTAATCCAGTTTCCCCTGTACTCAGATCTTCCATGCTACAGACAGACCGACAGATGCTCAGCAAATAGTAGCTAATATTTTCTAGGAACCTAGGTGCTAAATGAGTTTTCTTAAATTTCTACCTCCAGGTCTGTAAGTTGATTTGAACCATTACCCGTTTCTGGTTCTGCACAGGTTGTTGAGCGCAGGACTTCTCTCCTCCAGTGGAAAGTCCACCTGCTCACAATCAACCATCCTTTCCTGCAGCCTTGGAGACACTGTTCAGTGTAGCACCCCTCCCAGTCTAGAATAGGCACACTCATCATCAGTCTCTCTCATTTTCTGTCTTATCTCCATTCCATCTACGTACAGTTTTTGTTTTCGCCAATGTTTTTAAATACACAACTGTACAAGCACAACAATGACAACAGAAACCTTCCTTCCCCCAGTGTTGTAGTGAGCAAGGAATATATTTAACTTCAAATAAAAGACAAAAACAAATGCTGGATAAAGCTGACAGAAAGAAATGCAACTGTAGGTGCTCTGGCAATATAGAAATGATACAACTAAGAAAAATGGAAGAAAAGGAAAGAGAAAGTATTCCTCAGAATGATTTTACTGACTGCTCATCTGTAATGCCTGGGAGTCAAAGGATATTGTTTATAGAAATGTAAGCATACTTAATGGCACCAGGGGAAACAAAGTTAATATGATTAAATCAAATTGTGGGATGAAAAATCACATAGGGAGGACAAGAAAGAGAATACAGCTAATACCATTGTTCTTAGTTTAGAGACATTAGCTACTGTCCAAAGAAAGAGATGATTTTATGAAATTACATAAGGTAGCCATCAGAATAAAAGTTTAACTCTTCCAAATATCACAACATCAAAACAAAAGCAATAAAAACAAACAAGACAGCAAAAGACAGATATGTGCATATAAATCATAGCATAATATACTGTAATCAAAATATAACCAAACACAACTTATCATTAAAAGTAAGTGGACTTGACTCTTATTAGAGGAAAAAATATTGTCAGATTAAATCGAAAAGCAAATCTTAATTCTATGCTGGATATAAGATAAAGTGTTACAGAAAGTTTAGAAATAAAAGTATAGGCAATGAATAAAAGGATCTTCTCTTCATGCGTTAGGAGTATAAAACAGTACGTAAACACATCATACGTTTTCTGTTTTTACACTTAAATGGCTGGAGATGTTACACCACTAGTATGAATTTACTTCAGATATATAAAGGATACACTTTCATGTGGTTAGAAACAACAATGATAACAGTTAAGGTGAAAATAACATCTGCATTGACGCTAGGAAGAAAGAGCCATTGTTGGGTACACAGTGATCACATTACCATGGAGCAATCTGTTCCCAACTGAAATGTCCTTGCCCTTCTACTGAAATCATGTAAGATTCTGCAAAAGTAGTGTTTACTTCCTACAAATCAGCCATTTGTGGGAATGGCTGCTATTGTTGTCCACACGGAATGAGCATCAGACCTATATTTAGCTGTTGTATCATTAAGAGTCGTATTTGGCCCTTTCCAGAGGCTGTTATTTCAATTATATTTTGGAGAATTAGTCTATTTCCAGACAAATAATTTTTCCAGAACTTTGATCCATATGAAATGACCCTTTGGTAGGGATCCAGGGATTGAGTTTATTTTTAATTACTGTAGCATCCTGGTCAGGTTGAGAAACAGATTACCTTTATATTTCCCTGGCATGTGAGCAGGTCTAGATTTAGCGTGAGAATGCTTGAAAGTTTATAGTTTTTTAGAAATTTTATTTACTGTGTGTCTCTTTATCAAAATAAAATCAATGCTGAAAAGCTATATTAAATGAATTATTTTGAGATGGTCTCTTCCCCCTTCTTCCAATGAGAGGATATCCACAGATATGTCAGGAGCTTGCTTTACCTAGAAATGTGTTGAGGGCCACAGGTTTGGGTTCACCTGGGAATGTTTAGGGACACCTCCCCAAGTTGTTGTTGAAGAGTAGGGTAAATGTAAGATAGAATTAGGCTCACAGAGGCCAGATGAGAGCATCATGTCACCCCAGAAACACAGCATATACCTGGGAGATCTGTTCTCAGTATCAAAGTCTTAAGCACTGTAAGACTGCCTATAGACCAAGACAACAACTATATATATATATAGTTAATGAAATCAGTTAATATATAAACATATATTTATATATTATTTTTATTTTTATCTTCAGACAGCATCTCGCTCTGTCACCTAGGCTTGGAGTGCAGTAGTGCAATTAAGGCTCACTGCAGCCTTGACCTCTGGGGCTGAAGCTATCGTCCTGCCTCAGTCTCCTAAAGTGCTAGGATGAGAGGTGTGAGTCACCTTGCCAGGCCCAGGGCAATAACTATGCAATGTTTATATAATTTGGAGCAAAAAATATTTGAAATATGTGTGCATTGCTTTTTAACCTTTTCTATTGATTTACTTTATTAAATACTGAACAGAAACAATATATTTATAAAATATTTATTTTATATATACAATAAGCACATAATGAACACCTGTGTCTCCAGTCTTGGTTTAAGAAATTAAGCCAAAAGTAATCATAAGTGCTTATGATTACTTTTGAAGTCACCTGTACAACTTTTGCTGACTACATCCCCTTCTTCAACACTCTAACGATGGCCACTGTGAGCACTGTGTATATTGAATTGTGTTGTATTTCAATACCGTGTGCACTACATTGTTTTCCTGGCTGTAGGCTATTGCATTTAGTGAGCATAATGAATTATATCAGTATAATTCACTTTTGTCATTTCATTGTTTCAGCTTTTCTGTACTAATTATTGCCAATATATTTCTACTGGCATAAAAACAGACACATAGGACAGTGGAACAGAATAGAGATCGCAGACAAATCTACACATTTACAAACAACTCATCTCTGACAAAGGCATCAAGATCATACACTGGGAAAACAACAGTCTTTTCAATAAATGATCCGGGGAAAACTGAATAACTATATGCAGAAGGATAAAATTAAACCCATCTCACCATACACAAAAATCAAATCAAATAAAAATTGATTAAAGGCTTGAATCTGAGACCTGAAACTATGAAGCTGGTAAAAAAAAAAAAAAAAAAAAGCATAGGAAAGGCTGGGCGCGGTGGCTCACGTCTGTAATCTCAGCACTTTGGGAGGCCAAGGCGGGCGGATCATAAGGTCAGGAGATCGAGACCACCCTGGCTAACACGGTGAAACTCCGTCTCTACTAAAAATACAAAAAAAAAAAAAAAAAATTAGCCGGGCATGATGGTGGGCGCCTGTAGTCCCAGCTACTCGGGAGGCTGAGGCAGGAGAATGGCGTGAAAAAAAAAAAAAAAAAGAAAGAAAAAAAGAAAGCACAGGAGAAATGCTCCAGGACATTAGTCTGGGCAAAGATTTTTTTGCGTAAGACCTCAGAAGCACAGGCAACAAAAGCAAAAATAGACAATGGGATTATATCAAACTAAAAAGCCTCAAGCAAAGGAAACAATCAATAAAGTGAAGAGCCAACCACAGAATGGGACAAAATATTTTCAAACTATCTATCTGATAAAGGATTAACAAGTAGAATATATAAGGAGCTCAAGCAATTCAATAATAAACAAACAAAAAATCTGATTGAAAAATGGGCTACTGAAGAGGCTGAGGTAGGAGGATTTCTTATTTTTCTTTTTTTTCTTTTTTTGAGATGGAGTCTCGCTGTCGCCCAGGTTGGAGTGCAGTGGCGCGTTCTCGGCTCACTGCAGGCACTGCTCCCCCGGGGTTCACGCCATTCTCCTGCCTCAGCCTCCTGAGTAGCTGGGACTACAGGCGCCCGGCACCAAGCCCGGCTAATTTTTTGTATTTTTAGTAGAGACGGGGTTTCACCGTGTTAGCCAGGATGGTCTCGATCTCCTGACTTCGTGATCCGCCCGCCTCGGCCTCCCAAAGTGCTGGGAATACAGGCGTGAGCCACAGCGCCCGGTCAGGAGGATTTCTTAATCCCAGGAGTTTGAGGTTACAGTGAGCTATGATTATGCTACTGCCCTTTAGCTTGGGTGACAAAGCAAGACCTTGCTTCTAAAAACATAATAGTTAAAAATATATAAATAAATACAATTAAAAAATGGGCAAAAGATCTGAACAGATATTTTCTCAAAAGAAGACATACAAATGGCCAATAGGAAGACGAAAAAATGTTCAATATCACTAATCGTCAAAGAAATGCAAATCAAAATCACAATGCAATATCATCTCACCTTGGTTGAAAGGACTTGTTTCAAAAAGACAGGCAAGAACAGATGCTGGCAAGGATGTGGAGAAAGGGAAATACTAGTACACTGTTGGTGGGAATCTACATTAATAAAGCCACTATGGAGAACAGTATGGAGGTTCCTCAAAAAAGTAAAAATAGAACTACCATGTGGTCCAGCAATTTCTTTACTGGATATATATCCAAAATAAAGGAAATTAATGTATCAAAGACATATCTACATGCCGATGTGTACTGCAGCACTATTCACAATAGACAAAATATGGAATCAATGTAAGTGCTCATCAACAAATGAATAGATTTTAAAAGTCATATACATACATAATGGAATACTACTCAGATACAAAGAAGAATGAAATTCTGTCATTCGCAGCAACATAGGTGGCGCTGGCCATTTGGCTTAACATAATGAACATAGGCCATTATGTTAAGTGGAATGAGCCAAGCACAGAAAGGCAAATACCACATGTTGTCACTCATATGTGGGCAGTAAAAAAGTGGATCTCATGAAGATAGAAAGTAAATTGGTGGTTGCTAGAGGCCAGCAAGGGGAGGGGGAAGAGGAGATTAAGAGAAGAAAATATAAATGTATTTATCACCACTAAACTGTCCTCTAAAAATGTACAGATGGTAAATTATATATATATTTTTTAACTCAATAAGAAGTTAAAAAAATTCTGCTGTGTGTTTATAGGGCACATGTACAAGACTTTCTCTAGGGTTGTATCAGTTTTCTATTCCTGCTGTAACAATTTACCACAAATTCAGTGGCTTAAAATAACACATTTTTGTAAGATTTGAGTCAGTTTTAATAAACACACACAAACTTATTGTCTTAGATTTGTTTTGGTTGAAAATCTGGCATGGCTCTCACTGAAATAACATCAAGATGTTGGCAGGCTGCATTTCTTTCTGAAGGCTCTAAAAGAGCATCTGGGTTGTTGGCAGAATTCAGTTCCTTGTGGTTGTAGATCCTCAGTTTCTTCCTGGTTGTAAACTTCGGGTCATTCCCAGCTTCTAAAGGTCACTGGCTTTCCTTGGCTTGTGGCCCCCTACCACTGTTTTAAAAGCCAGTAATAGCAGGCCACATCTTTCTCATACTGCCATCTGTCTGAATCTCAGCATCCAGAAAATATTCTCTGCTCTCAAGGAATTATGAGATTAGATTGGCTCACCAAGGTAATTCAAGGTAATTTCCCCATTTCAATGCCCTTAATGGTAATCACATCTGCCAAGTCCCTTTGAACATGCTAACTTATGTTAGCATGTTCACCTTATCTGAAGACTGGGATGTGGCTGTCTTTGGTGGGGGGCAATTATTCTGCCTAACCCAAAGATACACAACTTGCAGATATACAACTAGTTCATGGAGATGAAACATTTTCAAATCTACAAGAAAATGTTTTCTAAAATGAGCATTTCATATTAGACTTTCACGAGCACTGTATCAGAATTATATTTACTTCATAATGTTGCCAATACTGATATCAGGTATTTAATTTTCTAGCCAGTTCAGGATAATGTGAATTGTGAATAATATATTTGTTCATTCAGTCAACAAACATTTTTTATCAGATACCACCGATATGCTGGTCAGTGTCATGGGTCCTAAAAATATAGCTGTTATTATTATTTTTTTAAACAAAGTCCCCACTGTGATAAAGCTTTTGTTCTTTGGGACAGGCAGACAGTAATCCAGATAAATAAATGCAAGGGCAAATTGGGGGAAAAATTGGAATGGAGAGCTCAGAATCTGGCCCCAGAGAAGGACAGAGGGAAAGGGGACCCAGTTCAGAATCTTGGTGCGTCCACACCAACAATTCCATGAGGGCTGAGGAGACAGAGCTGAAAGGCTTGTCTGACATCACAAGAGACAGAAAAGTGAGCCCTATTTTCATCTCTATCCTGACAATGTTCCTGGCTTGATTTCCTCCTTCCAGCAGACACAAGAATCAGGGAGCGCACCCTGATGGTAACATTTTTTTCAGGGGCCTATTTTGGGGATCCTGGTGAGAACCTGAGTCCGTCACTGACCATGGCAGCCCAGCATGGTCCCCAGTGCGTGGCCCAAGGCCAAGATTCTCTACCTCCATCCTGGAGGCAGAAGAAATGTCTGGGGGAAAATGAGAGGTTTTAGGTGGTTGACACTGGGTGAGACCAAGGAGAAATTTTAAAGCTGTGTGTCCTGGGGCCGGGGGCGGTGGCTCACGCCTGTAATCCCAGCACTTTGAGAGGCCTAGGCGGGCAGATCACGAGGTGAGGAGATTGAGACCATCCTGGCTAACGGTGAAACCCCGTCTCTACTAAAAATACAAAAAAAAAAATTAGCCGGGCTTGGTGGCGGGCGCCTGTAGTCCCAGCTACTCGGGAGACTGAGGCAGGAGAATGGCATGAACCGGGAGGCGCAGCTTGCAGTGAGCTAAGATCGCGCCACTGCACTCCAGCCTGGGTGACAGAAAGAGACTCCTTCTCAAAAAAATAAAAATAAAATAAAAATAGAAAATAGAAAAAGCTGTGTGTCCTTTGTTTCTTCATATTTTGCAGATTTTTGATGTCAAAATATTTTCATAGTCAAAAGAGTGTTAATAAAGAATGACTTCTCTGTTATAAAAACCCTAATAGTGAATGTACTTACCAAGAAGTTAGATTCTATCTTTGGTTTTTTTGTTTTTTGCCCCGTAGTTTTTAAAAAAATAGTTTTATTGTATGGATATTCTACAGTTAGTGTATCTATTCACCTCTTGATGGACATTTGGTTTGCTTCCGGTTGTTTTTGCTATTTCAAATAAAGTTGCTACGAATGTTTGTCCAATCGTTTGGACATACACTTTCATTTGTCTTGGGCAAATAAGCAGGATTTGAATGACTAGGTGGTGTGATATGTTTAACTTTTTTTTTTTTTTTTTTTTTTTGAGACGGAGTCTCGCTCTGTCGCCCAGGCTGGAGTGCAGTGGTGCATGGCGGCTCACTGCAAGCTCCGCCTCCCGGGTTCACGCCATTCTCCTGCCTCAGCCTCCGGAGTAGCTGGAATTACAGGCGCTCGCCACCACACCTGGCTAATTGTTTGTATTTTTAGTAGATACGGGGTTTCACCGTGTTAGCTAGGATGGTCTCGATTTCCCGACCTCGTGATCCGCCCGCCTTGGCCTCCCGAAGTGCTGGGATTACAGGCGTGAGCCACCGCTCCCAGCCAGTTTAACTTATAAAGAAACTGACAAAGTGGCTGTATTTCCAGCAGCAGTGTATGAGCATTCCTGTTCCTTTGTGTTCTCACCAATGTTTAGTATGGTCAGTCTTTTAAATTTTAGCTATTCTAATAGGCATGTAGCAGTATCTCATTGTGGTTTTAATTTACATTTCCCTAATGATGAATGATGTTGAACATCTTTCAATGTGCTTACGTATCATCCATCTGTATTCTATGGTGAAATGTCTGTTCAGATCTCTACATTTGTGTTAGACTATTTGTTTTCCTATTATTGAGTCCTGAGAGTTCTTTGTATGTTTTGGATAACAAATGTATCTTCACCAGATATAGCTTTTGTAAATTTTTACTCCCAGTCTGTGATTTGTCTTTTTATTCTCTCGATAGTGTTTTTCTTTTTCTTTTTCTTTTTTTTTTTTTTTTTTTTTTTTTTTTTTGACAGAGTCTGGCTCTGTCACCCAGGCTGGATTGCAGTGGCACGATCTCGGCTCACTGCAAGCTCCGCCTCCCGGGTTCACGCCATTCTCCTGCCTCAGCCTCTACGAGTGGCTGGGACTACAGGCGCCCGCCACTACGCCCGGCTAATTTTTTGTATTTTTGGTAGAGAGGGGTTTCATCCTGGTCTAGATCGCCTGACCTCGTGATCCACCCACCTCGGCCTCCCAAAGTGCTGGGATTACAAGCGTTAGCCACCGCGCCTGGCCTCTGGACAGTGTTTTTCACAGGTCAGATTAATTTTTATATAAATCATTTATTTTATTTTTATTATGTAAAATTTTATAATTTTTAATTTCCTTTTTAAAAGGTAAATAAAAATTTAAGTGTAATGATGCAAAATTTTGTTTAAAAGTAAATGTATATAAAAGTGTTGATATAGACTAAAACATTGAATAAGCAAGAAGGTAGTTAGTTGTCACAGTAGGAGTGAAGTGAAAAGCTTCGCCTTTCACCCTCTGAAGATTACCCGAAATGAACTGACCATACACAGATTAATAAAAGAAAGGGTATACAAACTTACATAACCTGCAAAAACATGAGAGCTATACACAAAGTATAAGACTTGAAGATGGCTCAGATCTGAAATGCTCTCCTCATAGGCAATAGATATATAGACCCAGGATGCAGACATTATTTTGTAAATAATTTCCTTTGGAAGCTGCATGGGACAGACAAATTACGGGAAGGTGAGAGATGGAACTGCACAGGAAAAAAGTTTGTCTTTGTCACTTTAATCTTATCATTACTAGAGAATATTTATGAATATTTTAGAATAATATATTTTTAAGCCCAAACCTCACCAAATGTTTTTTCTAAAACAAATACTTTTTGTTGTTGTTTGTTTTTGTTACTGTGTCTCACTCTGTCACCCAGGTATGGAGTGCAGTGGTGCAACCATGGCTCACTGCAGCCTTCACCTCCTGGGCTCAAGTGTTTCTCCTACCTCAGCCTTCCAAGTAGCTGGGCTACAGGCATGCACCATCATGCCCTGGTAATTAAAGAAAAAAAAAATTTGTTAGAGACCAAGTCTCATTATGTCACCCTGGCTAGTCTTGAACTCCTGGAATCAACTGATCCTCATGCCTTGGCTTCCCAAATTATTGGGATTATAGGTGTGAGCCACAGTGCCTGACCACATATTTCTATACTTCACTGAGGAAGGGAAGGTGCTAGGAAAATTGGTTAAGAACTATTTTTTAAAAAGCTATTAGTAGTGTTTTATTTTATTTTATTTTTTAATGATTGATTGATTTTTGAGATTGGGATCTCACTACGTTGCCCAGGCTGGTTTCACATTCCCAAGTTTAAGCAATACCCCTGCCTCAGTCTCCCAAGTAGCTGGGATGACAGGTGTGTGTCACCATACCCAGCTCCATTAGTAGCGTTTTTAACAATTGTGGGCCACTGAGTAAGAATAATTTTTTTTAAATTAAAGGTTATTTTTTAAAAAGCACATTTGTAGAAAATTACTAGCATAATCTGCCTAAAATAAATATACATATTGAAAAAATCTTTGCTCTGAACAAAAAGAAGTATATTCACCACACATACATACATACACACACACACACGCACACACGCACACACGCACACACACACACACATTATGGAAGATTTCAAGACCAGGCAATAATTTCCACTCAATCCAAAAACAATGCAATCCCAGAGCTGAATATTTAGGTGAAAAATATATCAGGAATGGGAGGCATTCAGGTTTAATTTTCATGTTTTGGTAGAGTTAGGATGTGAGTTTTCATTTAAAAATATTCTTTATTTTTTTTGCTACTATTGTGGTTTCTGTATTGTTACTATACAATCTGTAAACTAAATAGTAAAGGAGAGAAAAGTGATTTTCAAAGAAGCTGGCTTGGGAACAGGCACTATTCTGGGAAGATGAAAGGTTTCACTTAATGACTGGTACCTGTGCCACTCTGGTTATTTTAACTGTTAACCTTTTAGCAAGAGGTTTTTCTTTTAAAAGACATCCTTTAATATTTGGGAAGCTAGTGCAATAGTACACATTGAGGCCCACATACCACATGCCAAATATTTAAAAGGCATATTTCTAGCTAACCACTGTACATACATATATTTTTTCTCTTATTTTCTTATTTTAGTTTTTTTCCTTGACAACAATTTATGTCCACACATATCTTCTATCATCCCACTTTGACAAGTAATATTATACCTTCAAAATGATGTGGAAGACTAGATTGGAATTTAGAACCGTAGAACCTTGTAATTGTTGGGCCCTTCTGGAGAACACGACAGAGAAGTTATCTACTGTCTTTGCCCCCAGGGCCCAGGCGACACTTTTACCCTCCATTGTTTCTGAAGTTAAGGGGAGGAGACAATGTTTTGTTTAGTGACCTCGACAGAAAAAGTGTCCTCCTGCAACCACTCATTTGTTACTTTCCTTCTTCCTGAATTGCCTGGACCCACTCCTCCTCCATTTGACTGGCTCTGTGCACTGATGTTATAGTCAGGAGATTTTTGGGAATTGTGGCTTCTAAAAATGTACACCCGACTCTACCCATAGCTGGCCCTGTGAACCTACACACCTGCTCCACTGTGTCTCCTTCTCAAAGAGACACTCTTCCTGCTGAGGCTCTGCCCTCTGCTCCTAGATCCAAATGGCATCTCCTACCCTATCCCTGTATGGCTTAACCTAGGGAAACTCTTTCCCAGAGGAGTCAGGTAAGGAGACGGTGGCTGAGCTTCTTACAGACTTAAAGGAGACATCCTGGAATTTAGGAGTCCGTCCTTCCTTTCTGTAATCCCTGGCAGCTCCTGCTGCTGCTCAAAGTTTAGCTTTGTCTCTCATCCAGCTCAGACTGTTGCTGGTCCTGATGGCCTCTGCTTAGCTGTATTAGTACGTTCTTGCATTGCTATAAAGAAATACATGAGAAATACCCTTAGTTGGCTCACGGTTCCATAGGCTATACAGGAAGCATGGTGGTTTCTGCTTCCGGGGAGGCCTCAGGAAACTTTTACTCAAGGTGCAGGGCAAAAAAAAAAAAAAAAAAAAAAAAAGCTACCAGCACTGCACTGTGAGGCCCTGATACCTGAGCTAACTTCATATTATTACCTCTACAGCAAGTGTCCGTGAGAACATAGATATATTTCTTATGTGAGTACACAATTTACAGAAGAGGAACTACCCTTCCAAACCAAAACAAAATGTCAAAATTTTAATTTACCAGCAAACCTAGGTTGCTTCTGTGAAATGATCTCATTTGCTGAGTTTTAAAATTGACTAAATTTCCCAATTTCCAAATGAAAATATTTAGTTATCTTGTCTTGCTATGTGTTTTTGGTTAATATGATGATTAATTTTTGGTCTATTACTTAACATATTCCATGATTGTTGATATGGATTATAAGGACTCACAAAATAGTTTTCAGATGTCTTTAATTTTTTTACTTAGTGTAGATCCTATAAATGGATTAGGAGTATTCTATTAACTCCCATGTATTCAGAAATCGAATTGGAGTGGTAAATTCTGTTTGAAGTAACAAGGGATATCAAAGGAAAAAAATAATTTTGTGACTATGTCTTCTATACGTGAATTTTTCAGGCATCCTTATCAATGGCTTATACTAAAGACATTTTCTGGATCATGGGTGACACACAGAAGACATGCGGATAAGTGGCATTGTGTACACTACTGCATTTTATCATCTGGTTCATTTTTAAACTTTTATTTCTCTTACAGATGTTTTATTAACCGGTGCATCACCAGGTTAACAGTCTCTGGAACACTAAACTTACCAGAAAATACTTGTTGATTCAATTAACAAGAAAACAACATTAGAAAACAGTGGTGGCTTGTTTTTGTCTGTTGCAGTATCTTGGAGAGTAAAGCCTAACTCTTTAATTTTGGCCAAAGATATAAAGAAATACCTGAGAAACACCTTTAGTTGGCTCATGGTTCCGTAGGCTATACAGGAAGCATGGTGGTTTCTGCTTCTGGGGAGTCCTCCAACACTTACTGGCAGGGTAATTTTGAAGAAGTCATAATAAGATGGTTGTTACAATTAAATGAAATAATCAAAGTGGAAGAGCTTAGTTAGCTGTCTTCCCTAAATGAATCACTGGCAAGTAAGAGTGTGATTGATTTTCCTACCAGTCAGGACTCACCCCTTGAAGCTATAGGAGGGTAAACCTCTGAAGACCATACAATTTAGGGAACACTAACACCTCAAAAAACTCTGTAAACTTCCTTCCTTCCTTTTCTTCCTTCCTTCCTTTCTTCCTTCCTTCCTCCTTCCCTCCCTCTCTCTTTCTTTCTTTTCTTTCTTTGTTCATTTTTGAGACAGAGTCTTGCTCTGTCATTCAGGCTAGAGTGTAGTGGCTGGATTACGGCTCACTGCCGCCTTGACCTCCTGGGCTCAAGCAATCCTCTCACCTCAGCCTCCCTAGTAGCAGGGACTATTGGCATGCTCAGCTAATTTTTTCCTCCTTTTCTTTTTGTAGAGGCAGGGTCTCATCATGTTGCCCAGGCTGGTCTTGGATTCTTTGGATCAAGCAATCCTGCTGCCTCAGCCTCCCAAAGTGCTGGATTACAAGCATGAGCCACTGTGCCCAGCCTTAAGTTTTTTCATACAGGAGGAAAGAATTTGGGAAAGTAGGCGTGTGTGTGTGTGTTGGTTAGGGAGCCAACACATTTTTCTGCAAAGCTTGAATTCTGTGCCTCAATTTTTCATTTTTGTTACGTGCAAAATAAAATCGTATCCTGCTATAGATTTAAACCTGTGAGCAGATCCTACTCAAAACCTGATTCAAACTTTGTGTAGATCTTTGTCTCTCTATGGCATAAGAATAAATTCTTCTGGTTTTCTTCCCTCAGAAAAATGGACTTAGACTTCCCACAAGCCTTCCAGAAAGAACTCACCTGCCTCATCTGCCTGAATTACCTCACAGACCCCATCACTATAGGCTGCGGGCACAGTTTCTGTAGGCCCTGCCTCTGTCTTTGCTGGGAAGAAGCACACACTCCTGCCCTGCGTGCAGGGAACTGTCACAGCAGGAAGATTTCAACCAATATTCTTCTGAAGAATCTAGTGTCCATTGCCAGAAAAGCCAGTCTCTGGCAATTCCTGAGCTCTAATGAACAAATGTGCGGTATCCACAGGGAGACAAAGATGTTCTGTGATGTGGGCAAGAGCCTGCTCTGTTTTCTGTGTTCTAACTCTCAGGAACACTGGGGCACAGAAACACTGGCTCACTGAAGGGGCAGCTAAGGAACACTGTGTAAGTGATGACTCAGAGCACTTTGAAAGCTGGAGGGCAGCACAGGTAAAGAGATTAGGAGGAAGATGAAGAGCATGAGGATTAATCTATTCTTTACTGAGTGTCATGTACTGCCTAGGTATCAGTGATATAACTATTATCCTGCTATCAAATCTACTGATAAGTGGCTTACTTAACTTATATGCACTCACCACAATGCAAGAAATCCTCTGACTGCTCCTACCATCATGGCCCCTAGCCATGACATGACTTGTCTCCACACTAGCAGAAACTAATCGAGTCCCTATATTAGGGATAAGTGGCATTTATATATATATATAATTTTTATATGATATATAAAACATATTTATACAATATATATTATATACATATATACATACATATATATATTATATACATATATACATACATATATATACATACATATATATATGTGTGTATGTATATATATATATATATATATATATATATATATATATATATATATCACAATGCCAAAAATGTTTTGTCTTCGAAATAATCACAGTGCATTTGGAGAGACAAATGCATCTACAACCAGGCGACAACACTGAAAATAAAATTGTAGCAGTTTGAATAGGGGATTAAATGAGTTAATTTTTTCCTGGGGTTCAAAAAAAGAAACAGCAGCAAAAAATGGTACTTAAGATTGAAAGTTGGCCGGGTGCAGCTGCTCATGCCTGTAATCTCAACACTTTGGGAGGCCAAGGTGGGCGGATAACCTGAGGTCAGGATTTCGAGACCAGCCTGGCCAACATGGCGAAACAACGTCATTACTAAAAATACAAAAATTAGCTGGGCATGGTGGCAGGTGCCTGTAATCCCAGCTACTCGGGAGGCTGAGGCAGGAGAATCTCTTGAACCCAGGAGGCAGAGGTTGCAGTGAGCCAAGATCACGCCATTGCACTGCAGCCTGGGTGACAAAAGCAAAACTCCATCTCAAAAAAAAAAAAAAAAAAAAGAAAGAAAGTTCTGGGTTATGACACAGAACATATGCAACATGAATATGTCATGGTTATGAACATGTAGACTACTCAAGATTGTGTATTTTTAAAATAATAGAATACTAGGTTAAAAAATTAGCATCACAGAATGAAAAATAAGCCACAAATTAGCAGAAGATAATTGTAACACATAAAAACAAAGGATTAAATACAATGGTAATGTAATGATAGCTATTCTTACAAAGTTGTTTCTATGTCTCAGGTACTATTCTGAACAACATACGTGCATCTTGATTGCGTGAAGAATTCCTATATAAGAAAAACACAAACAACAACATTTAAAATGAGCAAAAAACCCGAATAGGAATTTCACGGAAGAGAAAACATAAATGGCCCATAAACATAATAAAAGATGCTCAACTACAATTCTAATCAGGGAAATAAACATTAAAACCCCAAAGAGATACCACTTCATACTCTAGGAAAAACCTAAAAGGCTGTGAATATCTAGTTTCATTGAGGAAGAGCAATGGGAAGACTATTCACTGCTGGTGAGGGTGTAGATTGGTACAACTGCTTTGGAGAACAGTATGATGCCACTCAATAGAGCTGAACACACACATGCCCAATGACCAAGCAATTCCACTCCAGGTACATACTGTAAAAATACTCCTGCACATGTAGAATAGGAGACACTGCATAACAAAGTTCACTACAACATGAGGCCGAGGTGGGAAGATGGCTTGAGACCAGGAGTTTGAGGCTGCACCAGTAGCTGGGACTATAAGCATGTGTCACCGTGCCTGGCTAATTTTTTGCTGTTGTGGTTGTTGTTAGAGATGAGGTCTTCCTTTATTGAACAAGCTGGTCTCCAAATCCTGGCTTCAAGTGATCTTCCCACTTCTGCCTCCCAAAGTGCTGGGATTACAGGTGTGAGCCACCATGCCCAGCCAAGTTCTGCTTCTTAACCTGAGGTAGATACTTTGATGTTTCATTTTCCTTTATTGTACAGATATACTTTATATTCTCATATGTGACACAAGTCAAAATTTAAAAAAACAATTTAACATTTATTCCCTTTAGATGAATGATGGGCAAATTTACATAATGAATTCATTACTGAAACAATGTATAGATTTCAGACTAGGAAAGTAACTATTTATAAAAGAAAAGCTTAAAACCTGAAACAGAAACAAAATCCTGAAACTGTAAAATTGAGTCAAACTAAAATTTAAAAAACAAAGCAATGATATAAAGTATCATTTGTCCAAATGTGTTCTACAAAATGCTTTTTTCTTAAATATGTCTGAGGAAAAACAGGTTCTAGGAGTAAAATATGTTTGAAAAATGCTGGGTTAAACAACTGAACCTATGAAGGAAGGAACAGAACTTCTCAAGCTCTTGACTCTGGAATCTTTTTTACACGGCAATTAACACCATGCTTCTTCTTGGATTTGTATTTCAGATAAACACAATCTGGGAAACATTTTATAATACAGAGGGCCACACCAGATTGAATATTGCCCCCAGGAATGAAATGAAAACAGGAATGCATTCTCCAGTAAGAGGTACCCAGATATCCTAATCTTCAGTAGCTGACCTAAACCCTGGACAAGTGGGATCAAACCCCATAACCAAATACAACTTTTTAGGAACTAAGTGGATAATCACTCTGTGTTGTATGAACATGTGGGCAGTGTGTTTCCTACACAGCTTAAAAGTGCAACAAAAAAAGATCTAGGTGTCATATAGAGAATTTCTACCACAGTTAGGGTAATGGTGGACTGACAGGCAGAGGGTCTTAGATGTGACTTAAGTAAAGTTCAATAGAAGCTTCCAGCACAGATATTCATGTTTCGAATTGGACCGCTCAGTTAAAAAGTTTTCCCATTAGACTTCCCCTAATCAAATTAGAAATTATCTAATTTTCTAATAAAGTTTTCCCCAGGCACAAGGAATCTGTGAACTGGACCTAAAAAATTCTTCATAATGTGCTTTTATTACCATAAAAGATGCACATTTATTTTAAAAACTTCTCTACACCACTATCATAAACCTTTGCACACACTTGTTTCTTTTGGAAGCTAACTTCTGAGTGGTAATGAAATATATTCTTAAGAAAAAAGTCCGACACAATGCCTTTGCGTCTTAAAATATGTTAAAATATTATTTGAAAAGAGTCAAACATCTGTCTTTTCAGGGTATCACAGGGCGTCAAACTGGAAAATGTGGCACTGCCAGGAGTTTCTACCTGGTGAAGGGTGGCAGACTTTTCTCTTCAGAGGGCTCTTGACAGGGTAGCATCCATTATCTTGCCAATTTACCACAACCTAGGCCCAATCCTCAGTCTTATAGGTTCAGAAATTTAATTTTATCAGCATCAGTAGGGTAGCTACATTGCTTAGAAGCAAACAAAATTAACCATGCTTCAATAGAAATCAGCATATAGATGTATTAATACAGAATGACAAATATAACTGTGACAGAAATAGCAATGCCTGTTTATGGTCATATACGGCCAATACTTTCATTACAGCCAAACTCATACATGCAGACAAATAAGAGGCCCCTGGATACACAGGGAATCAGAATAAAAAAAGAAGAACTGAACATTTAATAGTCTTCTTTCATTCAATCAATAATTTTTTTTAGTTAAGCAACTACTATGTCCAGGTAACCTTCTAGGTCCTGGGGATACAGAGGTCTCTGCTTACAGAAGTCATATGTAAGTAGCAGGTGAAGAGTATGTGTTTCACAGAAGTTTATTACAATATATTAACAAGAGCAAAAAATTTTGGAAGCAATCTAAATGTTCAATAATAGAGCTCCAATTAAATAATAAATCCAAATAATGAAAAATAATGCAGCCCTTTAAGAATAAGCACTTGCAAGCCGTAATTCATGACATGGGAAAATTATCATAACGGAAAAAGAAGCAAGCTATATATAGTGCATGATCCTATACACACACATACACACATACATATTTCCTATCCCTTTATATGCATAAGAAAACAAGCGGGAGGAAAGTCATATCTTTAGTCAAATCTTGTTTACTAATGTACTATTAATGATTATCTTTTCTTTTTCTTTATACCTTTTTGCATTTTTCAATTTCCTAAAATAGCCTTACATGCCTTTTATCACCAGGAGAAAAATTACTTCTAAAGTAATTTCAGTCAACATGCATACTAAGAACTCTTCAGATTTATCTGTTAGAAGCTGTGCATGAATGCCAGTCCTTGCATCTGTCTTGGAACTCACAGAGAGCTCTTTTCCCATGGCTTTAAGCAATACTCAAAAAGACTAGCATACCTGAATTTCCTAGTCCTATGTTTTTTTCATCCAACAGCCAGTCTTGTATTTCTAGCTGTTTTCTAAACATTTCAACCAAACCATTTTACAGATAACTCATACAGTCATCCTTTGATATGCATGGGGAATTGGTTCCAGGATCCCCCTTGTATGCCAAAATCCATGGATGCTCAAGTTACTGGTATAAAATAGTGTAGTATTTGCATATAACCTACACACATCCTCCTATATACTTTAAATCATCTCTAGATTACTTAATAACAATTAATACGATGTAAATGCTATGTAAATAGTTGGTATACCATGTTGTTTTTTATTTGTATCATTTTTTATCACTGTATTGTTTTTTCTGACAATTTTGTTCCACAGTTGTTTGAATCAGTGGATGCAGAACCCATGAATATGGAGAGTCAATTGCATTTTATTATGCCCAAAGGTAAATGCATAATTTTTCCGCACAGCTAATCTTCTAGCAACCCCATTGCTGTCCATGGCAAACAGGCTTAGTTAATCTCGCCCTTTCCCGTTTCAGGTTCATTAAAAAACTCTTGTCAAAATCTCTTTCATCCCACCTTATTCTTCATTCTCACTTCCATCAGCATATCAGTCCAGGCCCTAGTAACATTAATGTTACTAATGGCACTGTTAGTAACATTACTTACCAGCATTCAAGTGGGTCTTCCTGATGCCATTCTCTCCCATCCTGAAATCACTGCTCTTTATATAGAACTTGTATGATGTCATTCATTGGATCAAAAACTATTAAAGCCTTCCTTTTTCTACCACCCCAATCTAAATTTCTATGCCTGGCTTTTATTAAAACCCAGAATTTGGCCCCACCCTAGCTATTTAACTTTATTTTCCACTATTCACCAGTCTCCTCCCTCATCAACGAGAAGACATACCATAATCAACCTCACCACTAACGCTTGGAATATCTAAACTTAAAAATGGTCCTTCCTTTCCCCTTTACTTGTGTTTAAAGAACCTGACGAATTATTCCTCCTCTGCTAAACTTTTCACAATTTCTTCAACCTCATTTATGTTTCAGATTTTCAGAACATATCTTGCCGTTTATTAGGAATCTCACAATTAGGCACTCTCATGTAGATAGATTTACAATCATGTATGTTGTCATCTTCTATTAAATTCCATACTCCTTGAAGGCAGGAGCCATGCCTTATTCTGTCCCCCAGAGTACTCAGAATGATGCAGAGCACACAGAAAGTACTCAAATCTTGTTGACTGATCCAGTGAGAAATGACCAACTTCAGTTCCAGCCTCTCTTTAATATGTACATAGCAATTTGGGCAAGTCAAGCTCCATCCTGAAGGACATAATAGGGGACTCTTTAAGCACATTATTATGAAGGCCCTTCAGGGATAACACCAGAGTGATGAGGTGCCCTATACCAGGGATAATGGAGACAGAGTTCTTGGGATTCATCACTGGGGTCCTCAAAGCATCTTCCAAGGGCATAATAAGGAAGGACTCAAACACCTTTGAATCTCCGTGAGACCAGGCATGAGGTCTTTTGAAAGAGTTCTTTAACTGGAGTGAATGTCAAAGAGAAGTATAATAAAATAAAAGACCTGAGTAGGGTCCCCCTTGTTCATAAAATGACACTACCTAAATCACCAAATCTCACTGAGCCTTGGTTTAACTCAAGAGGTTCCATGCCACTATAAGAGGTGGTAACTGCCAACTGATAGGAAATATTTTCATATGCATAGTCACAGTGCCCCATATTTATGAACTTCTTAAGAGTCTTCAAAAAGCTTTCTATATACATTATCCTTTACTTTCTAACTTTTCTAAATACAAGGTGAGAGAGACACAAGTGTTCTATCAAAACAGAATCTTGGCCGGGCACAGTGACTCACGCCAGTAATCCCAGTACTTTGGGAGGCAGAAGCGGGTGGCTCACTTGAGGTCAGGAGTTCGAGACCAACATGGCCAACATGGCAAAACTCCATCTCTACTAAAAATACAAAAAATTAGCCAGGTATGGTGGCAGGTGCCTGTAATTCCAGCTACTCGGGAGGCTGAGGTAGGAGAATTTCTTGAACCCAGGAGGCAGAGCTTGCAGTGAGCAGAGATCACACCACTGCACTCCAGTCGGGGCAACAAGAGCAAAACTTCATCTCAACATAAAAAAAAAAACAAAACATAAAGACTTTTGCAAGGACCATGTCCCACCCAGAATGGTGCCTGCCTTTCTACAGTTTTTCAGGAAGAGGAAACATTTTCTGCTTCTCTTGCTGAGGTTTTTTTTAACCACCCATTAGGAACGTAGAGATTTCAGGATCGAACACTGGGATTCCCTCAGCACTAAAGGAGGAAAATTGCAAACAGAGCTGAAAGTGCAATGTGGAAAGGTCAGGCTGAGGAAGGTTCTTAGCCAGCAGACCAAGGGCAGAAAGGACACTGCCTCCTCAGTCTCCCACTAGGGAACTTGTGATTCTTGTCCCCTGACCTCAGAATTCCTTGTTATGTTTGTTTTGTCTCCAAGGGAAGGGTTTGAATTACAGAATTTAAGGCTAGAGTGGGCCTCCTGCAGTTAACATTAACCCTCTCTCTCCTTCACTGGCCGAGCTGAAGTCTGGGACCATGTAGTTCTGACGTCCGCTCTCTCGGGGGATCACCAGTTCACCCACCTCACCCGGCAAGCTGGGCCCTAGTTTGGCAACAGGCATCTTCCACCCACCTGGGAGGCAGGGTTCAACACTCTGCCTCTGACCTTTTTTCCTTCCTCTGCCACCGGCTTAGGCAGCCAGAAGGGGTTGTCCAGCCAGCACCCGGGCTTTGGTGCTCCTCAAGCAGGTGGGGGAAGTTTCAGGCACCTGGCTCCTCAGGTGTCTGCCATCCAGCTGCTCTTCAGGCCTGCCCAGCAGAGCTCTCTTGACCCAGCTAGAACTGGCCAGAACTGACTCACTCAGGAATGTGTAGACTTTGGCATCAGGGGCTGCTTTAATTTGCACAATTTCCAAATACCTCTTTTTTCTTCTTTTTCTGATGAGTCATCTCCCTAGACTTCCATTTTAAAGAGATAGATAGTTATCAGGTTCCAGAGAAGACATGGTAGAACATTTATATCTCAAAGACACAGAGCTGAGACTTCAGGTTTAGATACTATAATTTGCCTAAACCAAAAAGGAAGGTGTAGGTAAAGTTCTAGTCAAGACAGGATGGCCAGGAAAAACACCTTAAACCAAGGGATGGCTTGCTTTGCTGATTTAAGCCAATGGCTTCTTTATCATAAGACTTCCCAGTGATTTAGTCCTCCCTCTCTTCCAGTGCACAGAGACATACCCCTCCTTACGAATAAAAATGTTCTTTATAGATGTAAATTTATTTTACAAAAATGTTTCAAAATAACCAGATCAAAATCATCCTTATGCCAGAAAGACTTTTTTTTTTATTACTAGAAATGAAACAGTAAGTATTTGTTGTATTGACATACTTAGGCTTAGACCTATGTTTAACAAGAAAGCCTAATAATAGCACTGTGGTTAGACTGTAGCCTATTTTTCCAAACCATCATTTTATTATTAAGGAAAGAAAGGATCAAATACCTTTCATTCATCTGATATGATCCTTTAAAACACATTCCACTAATAAGTCCCATTTGGAACAGCTGAAAATCTTTTAACAAAACTTTTTAAAGATGAGCTCATGGCTTAGTGTAAATTTCACAAGCTTAATTAGGTCAAATGGAAGGAACTCAGATGAGTAGTTGCCCAATCAGAGCCCATTATTTGTAAGTCATCAGCCCCCTTCATGACCTTAAAACTCCACTCTGACCTAAATATTGCAAACCTATATACAACAAAGTGAAAGGTTTAATTTTCATTCATCAACCTCTCAATCCCAGATTTTCAAAGAAAAAACCTATGTAAGGAATACTTACCAAAACCAGACAGGAAAATTAGAGCCTGCATACTTAAGAGTCAAATTTGTTCCACTACAGCCAGGTCACATACAATTACATGATTTGGTTCTTCATACACTCTGGAACTGACCAGGACAGAGTTTAGCATAGAAAAACTGTAAGAAATAGGTTCCAAAACATAGAAATTGCAAAGTCCAAAAGGCTATGAAAAAAACTAATGTAAATGAGAGACTCCCCTCCCTTTGTTTTAAAGAAATAGACCCATCAGAGAAATGCAAATCAAAACCACAATGAGATACCATCTCACACCAGTTAGAATGGTGATCATTAAAAAGTCAGGAAACAACAGGTGATGGAGAGGATGTGGAGAAATAGGAACACTTTCACACTGTTGGTGGGACCGTAAACTAGTTCAACCATTGTGGAAGTCAGTGTGGCCATTCCTCAGGGATCTAGAACTAGAAATACCATTTGACCCAGCCATCCCACTACTGGGTATATACCCAAAGGATTATAAATCACGCTGCTATAAAGACACATGCACACGTATGTTTATTGCGGCACTATTCACAATAGCAAAGACTTGGAACCAACCCAAATGTTCAAAAATGATAGACTGGATTAAGAAAATGTGGCACATATACACCATGGAATACTATGCGTCCATAAAAAATGATGAGTTCATGTCCTTTCTAGGGACATGGATGAAGCTGGAAACCATCATTCTCAGCAAACTATCGCAAGGACAAAAAACCAAACACCGCATGTTCTCACTCATAGGTGGGAATTGAACAATGAGAACACTTGGACACAGGAAGGGGAACATCACACACCAGGGCCTGTTGTGGGGTGGGGGGAGGGGGGAGAGATAGCATTAGGAGATATGCCTAATATAAATGATGAGTTAATGGGTGCAGCACACCAACATGGCACATGTATACATATGCAACAAACCTGCACATTGTTCATGTGTACCCTAGAATTTAAAGTATAAAAAATATATATAAAAAATAAAAAAAGAAATAGATGTCCTGTAAAAATATACACAATTTTTACAGACAAATACATTTATAAGTTGTTTTTATCTTAAAAATTGGGGATATTTCATATTTATAACTAATTATTGAGCCTTAAGTTTTCTTGGCCATTTCTAGGCTAATAAACTAAGAATCATGTAAACTAAGCCAAAGTAGAATAGACATAAAAGTCCTGAACACTTCAACTTCCTATCCTTCAAGAAGTATACCTTGCAAAGCTCATTTGAGAGAGGAAAAGCTTTCCTCCACCCTCGGTTTTACAGTGCTGAGGCTTCTCATCACATTTCTATGACTTGTAGCTTAAATCCATGTTACATGGTCACTGGCATTGTTAGTGCTTCTCTTTTAACACTGTAGGAATTAATCAATTTGGTGGCATATTTAATTAATTCTATCACTAGGGGATTGTAAAATTACATATATGAATACCTCACTTTAGAGGCCACTTAATTTTTTTCCAAGGGGATATTTGACTATATTTCACTTGTGTCTTATTTAATGATTTTATAATTTAAACCCTAAATTATAAATCTAGAATTTAGAAAGTATATTTCCCCACTGGATTACATTTTTGGAAATATTATTTTATATGTGCACAAATATTACAAAATCACTGTAGACACCTGAAAACTATATTATCTTTTAAAGGCAATATTTACATTAAACTGGTATAACAAAATTATTTGGTGCATTTTTTCCAGTACATTTTGTGTATATTACATGTTTAACCCTTTTTTATTCAGCAAATAATTTTTGAGTATCTACTAAGTGCTAGGTTCTGCATTACTAACTGATTTTAAAGAGTGAAATAACAGACATGGTCTCAGACAATAAAAATTAACATTAGGTCACTTATTTATATATTTTTAAATGGTAATTATGAAAACTTTTTGAGATTTTTAACTAGATAACATTATAATAACGCACTTGATGTTGTTAATATTTGCCAGTGAGCAAAAAAGAAAATAAAAAGATGGTTTTATTCAATATACACTTTAAAATTGCAGAAAATAGTCAAGTTTCTCTGCTTTGCAGTTGAATGTCTATGTGTTTTTCTCTGCAACTTGGTTTTTGTGGAGTGAAACAATTATTCTTCCAGCCCAATGAAGGCAGAAGAGTAACAATAAATCTAATATTTTAAATGCTTATCAAAAGATAGTAAACACATTATTTCAGAATACTGAGTTCAGTAAGTTGACCTACAAAAAAAGCCAAACTGACAGTATTACTGAATAAGGAAAGGCCCAAAGAGACAAAATACTTTTTATTTTGTAACCTCGGTATGACACAACTTACCCTAACTATAAAGACCCTAAATTGCCAAGATGGGTGCTTATAATATGGAGAGTTAAAAAAAGTCACTTCACTTTTAGCTTTTTTATTTCTCTCAGAATAAAAAGTGTATAAGGAGTTGATAAAGAAGTTGATACTATAAGTTAGTACTACAATGACAGCACTTTTCAAGAAAAGAGTTTTTTCTCTCTTACAAATATCATGTTAGCAATATTTGTTTTCTCCAGAAATAATGAGGAAATAAAAACATAAGTATGTGGGTAATTAGTGTAGTTTCTTAAAGAAATGAGTTAGGCAACAGGCTAATAATGTATATTTCGCTGGCTTTTGAATGCCAACAATCATATTCTTTATAAGGCACAGAGAAGATTTTTCTAAAGAATATGTGAACCTGAAAAGTAATCACCACTTGGTAGTGACAATATGGATAGGGTGAAGGGCGTCACCAAGAAGCAATGAAAAGATACATTTGCAGTTAAATTCGAAAACCATGATGTTTAATACATATAGTAATAAAGAATACTTTCTCCTGTTTCAAAATTATTTTAGAATTTAAGATAGAAGCTAAAATACCTAGGGATAATGATATGACTATCAAAAATTAAAAATTAAAGGACATTTTGAGTATTATAAATTAAGAATGAGAACTTATTACCCAATGAACAGGGGATAATTCATTATGCTCCATATCCATTGAATTAAAAGACAGGCCCATTACCTGGATAATTTGAAAGTTTAATTTTATTTAAAAGTCTTGTTTCATTCATCAAGCTAAAGGATTAGCTCCCAGAAATATTCTAGGATTGCCTATCCCCAACTCTGTAGGAAGTATAGAAAGAATGTTATAAGGGCCACCATCTAAACATTATTATGTAAATAATTTAGTACCATTCCATTTGCCTTTGTAGATTTAAAAATGTAAATGGCTTTCTCATATAAGGAAACATCACTTTTCAAAACCCAGGTAAACATAGTATATTGCAAGAGAATAATTATTTTCTTTATTAAAAAAGAAATACTGGATGCTAAGTCCAAAAGACATAAATTATTTTATACTAATAACTACTAATATTTTATTCATTAAAATATAAAGGTCAAAGACTTCAAAATGATCTTTAAATGATTAATAACATGTTGATCTTTTTCTTCTTTCTGTAAACCTTTTTGAGTCTTAACAATACTAAACTATACAAGCAATATTAAATAGTATATAAACTTGGATTAAAATATTCAAATTTACTAGAATGTGGACATCGGAAAGAATGAAAATAAACAGAAGCATAAAGCAGCAGATATAAAATTAAGAAAGCAACTAAGAGTGTTTAAAGTGCATATTCATCTGTAGTCTAATGTCTACCATAAACAATGACTCTTCTCAGTAAAACACAAATTGTTCATGAAGGGAAAAAGCATGTTGTATTAGAGCATATTCAACATAATTTTTTTAGTACTAACTTGTGCCTGGAGTATTATTGGTTTTTCTATTATGAACTTATGCACTTGATCATTTTTTTCATCAAAATTGTATGTACAACTCCATTCAAAAGCAGCTTTTGGTCGTTTTTTTTTTTTTTTTTTTTTTTTTTTTGAGACAGAGTTTTGCTCTTTTCACACAGGCTGGAGTGCAATGGTGCGAATTTGGCTCACAGCAACCTAGCAACTTTTGCCTCCCAGGTTCAGGTGATTCTCTTGCCTCAGCCTCTCGAGTGGTTAGGACTACAAGCATGCACCACCATGCCTGGCTAATTTTGTGTTTTTAGTAGAGACATGGTTTTGCCATGTTGACCAGGCTGGTCTTGAACTCCTGACCTGAGGTAATCCGCCCACCTTGGCCTCCCAAAGTGCTGGGTATGGGCAAGAGCCACCATACCTGGCCTCAAAAGCAGTTTTTAAAAGCAAACACAATATAACACCAAAGTTGAAAAATCCATGCTCACCCAAGGATGCCAGGTTTAATAAATTGTTGATAGAATACTACATCAAAAATAAGACAATAACCCAGAATATACCATTAAAGATGTACCCACTCCTACAACTAGAGATAACTAATCTATCTGGTAGCAAATGATACTTCAATCAGTTTCAGCATGTCTGAAATCTTTAAGGTCAAAAGTGATAAAACATGACTTCATTCTTCATTAGACTCTTAGAACACTTGAAGGAAAATAATTTCTGAAGCACGAAGAGGTAAAGAGGTGTAATCTTTCAAGAAGATATTCAGTGTTCAAAATCCAAGAGTGCAATATCATGCTGGGTGCGGTGGCTTATGCCTGTAATCCCAGCACTTTGGGAGGCCATGGTGGGTGGATCACCTGAGGTCAGGAGTTCGAGTCCAGCCTGGACAACAGGGTGAAACTCTGACTGTACTAAAAATACAAAAATTAGCCAGGCATGGTGGTGTGCACCTGTAGTCCTAGCTACTTGGGGGGCTGAGACAGGAGAATCGCTTGAACCTGGGAGGTGGAGGTTGCAGTGAACCGAGATCATGCCACCTCACTCCAGCATCAGTAACAGAATGAGATTCCACCTCAAAGAAAGAAAAGAGTGTAATATCGGTATACACAGATAATATACTGAATGAAACAAATAGAATAATTTGAAGAGGTATCTTGATGAACAAGGAGTCATTAGAGAGGTTGTATTTATGCCTTTGAAGGAAATTGCAATGTGAGAAATTAATACTTTGACTACTATACTAAAAGTTTATTGCTAACATGTATTGAGCTATTAACGTGTGTTAGGCAGAGTACCATATAACTTACAAGTGTTATCTCATTTATTGTAGGTAAAATGTAATTTCAAACTCTGGGAGTATAAATGAACTAGATAGAATAAAATTCTATTTAAATGGCCATCAGTAAATCGGTATCTAGGAACAGGGTGATACAGTGCCCAAGTTTTCTATTCTTACTAAATGTTGTGTTTCATTTTCAGTGCTTTCTTGGATATTGCTCTTTTTTGGTGATTTTGATTTTTTTTATTTTAGAAAACTAATAAATTGATTCTTCTTGGTACTGACTCAGGTTTTATAGAAGAAAAAGTAATTAAATTCTGTACATTTACCTTTACCTCATTTTTTCTCTTTTAAATTTACTTTAATTGACATATAATAAATGTACATGTTATGGGGTACAGAGTGATATTTTGATATATTTATGCAATGCGTAAAGATCAAGTCAGAGTCATTATCATATCCATTACCTAAATCATGTATTATTTCTTTGCAGTGAGAATATTCAAAATCTTTTATTTTAGTTATTTGAAAACACACAATAAATTCCCGTTAACTACAGTCACCCAACAGTGCTGTAGAGAACTAGAACTTCTTCCTTCTCTCCAGCTGTAATTTTGTATGTATTAACCACATTTTTCTTATACTCTTCTTTCTCCTACTCTTTCCAGGATATGGTAACCAAAACTCTACTATCTACCTCTACGAGATTAAAAATTTTAGCTTCCATACATAAGTGAGAACACATAGTTATGTGGTGTTTATATTTCTATGCCAGGCTTATTTCACCTAACATAATGCCGCCCACTTGCATTCTTGTTGCCACAAATAACAGGATTTTGTTCTTTATTATGACTAAATAATATTCCATTATATATGTATGTCACATTTCTTTATCCATTCATCTGTTGATGGACACTTTTGTTGATTCCACATCTTGGCTATTGTGAATAGTGCTGTAATAAACATGGGGGTGCAGGTAACTCTTTGATATACTGATTTTCTTTCCTTTGGATATATACTGAAAACCATATGATTAAATTAATAAACACAATAAAAGCGTTTGGCAAAATTAAATATTCTTACATGACAAAAAACTTCTCAACAATTTAGTATAGAAAATATATGCCTTAACACAAAGGACATAAAGGACAAATCTACAGCTAAGATCATACTGAGTGTGGAAAAGGTGAAAGATTTTACTGTGAACAAGAAAAAGATTTTACTGGAACAAGAAAAGGATGCCTATTCTCACCAATCATATTTCACATAGTGAAAGTCTTAGCCAGGACAATTAGGTGAGAGAAAGAAATAAAGGACATCTGAATTGGAAAGGAGACAGTCAAATTGTCCCTGTTTAAAGACAATGTGATCTTATACATGGAAAAAAATAAGACTCTACCAAAAGCTTCTTGGGGTGATACATGAAATTAATAAAGTTGCAGGATATAAATCAACATATAAAAATCAGTAGCATTTCTATATATTGATAGTAAACTAGCTGAAACAAGAAATTAAGAAAGCAATTCCTTTTAGAATAGCTACAAAAATGTACTTAGAAATAAATTTAACCAAGGAAGTAAAAGATTTCGACAACAAAAATGACAAACATTAATGAAAGAAATTAAAGAAAACATAAAAAAGGAAAGACATCCACTTTTATAGATTGAAATAATATTCTTAAAATGACCCACTATCCTATGTGATTTACAAATTTAGTACAATCACTAGCTTGTATTTTTAAAAGCACCTTTGCTGCATATTCTTAAGATATTCAATGACAATGCCTGGATTTAAGTTTGAGGTATTATTATATCTATTTTATACTGGGCACAATATAATGTTATCAGAGATAATGGTTTTGATTGGTTCTAGGTCATACAGTAATATATACATTGTGATTTATAGACATGCTATCTTTTAATACTCAGACATTTAGAAAGTTCATTTAGACAAAGTTATAAAAACTTGCCTTCCTTTCTGCCTATATCACCTAAAAATCCTAATTTAAGAGGTAATAACACTTTTTATTTGATATACAATTTATCAACACAATAAAAATCTAACAATTATCATGTGCAGAGTGTGAAAATCTCATCAGATTAAGGAACACAAAGACATCTTTCTCCTATTTTGAATGTAAAACTGTTTTGGAAACTTATTTTCAGAAACAGTTAAAAACATTTTTTCATTAGTTTTTCATGTAAAATTGTGACAACCAGCATGAAATAACTGTCATCACAGAAGCATGGTATATTCGATTCCGAAACATATTCTTTGTAAGTTTTAATATATTTATGTATTATTTATACTTAATTGTAACCCATAATGTACAGATATTATTTTTCCTTCAACTCTTAAGAATATTCTTAAATAATAAAATTAAAATTAATGAATTATAATTTTTGTTGGTTGGGAAAAAGACACACACGTGACAGTGCATCACTTCACCTCATCATTTCATTTCATCTCATCATTTCATCTCATCATTTTATCTCATCATTTCATCTTATCCCATCTCATCTCATCATTTCATATCGTCTCATCATTTCATCTCATCATTTCATCAAATCTCATCTCATCTCATTTCCATTTCATTCTCATTATTTCATTTCATCATTTCATTTCACTATTTCATTTCATTTCATCTAACTTCATTTATTTCATTATGTCATTTCATATCATCTCATTTCATTTCATGTCGTTTTTGATATCATTTTTCATATCATTTTTCATCTCATCATCTCAGTTCATTTCATCTCATCATTTCATCTCATCTCATCATTTCCTCCTTTCTTTTCAACATTTCATCTCATTTCTTCTCATCTCATTTCAATTTTATTTCATTATTTCATCTCATTTCATTATTTCACCTAATTTCATTATTTCATCTCATCCCATCTCATCTCAATTCGTCTCATCTCATTTCATCTCATCATTTCATCTCATCATTTTTCATCTCATCATTTAATCTCATTTCATTTCATTTCATCTCATCATTTCAGCTCATTTCATGTTACATCTCTTCATTTCATTTCAACATTTCATTTCATCTCATCATTTCATCCAATCTCATCTTTCAATTTCACTTCAATATTATCAATTCATTTCATTTCATTATTTCATTATTTCATTTCATTTCATCCCATCATTTCATCTCATTTTTCATCCCATCATTTTTCATCTCATCTCATCATTTCATCATTTCATCTCATTTCTTCTCATTTCATCTCATCATTTTATCTCATTTCATCTCATCTCATTTCAATTTCATTTCACTTCATTTCATTTCATCATTTTATCTCATCTCATCAAGTCATTTCTTCTCATCTCATCTCATTTCATCATTTCATCTCATCATTTCATCTCATTCTTTCATTTCATCTCATCGTTTCATCTCATTTCATCTCATCTCACCTCAGCATTTCATCATTTCATCTCATCATTTATTTCATCTCATTTTATCTCATTTCATCTCATATCTCCATTCAATTTCCTTTCATTATTTCATTTCATCTCATTCATTTCATCTCATTTCATTACATCTCATCATTTCCTCTCATCATTACATCTCATCTCATCATTTCATCTCATCATTCATCTCATCATTTCCATTTCATTTCCATTTCATTATTTCATTTCATCATTTAATTTCATCATCTCATTTAATTTCACCTCATTTCATTATTTCATTTCATTTTTTCATTTCATTATGTCATTTCATCTCATTACGTTTCATCTAATTTCATTTCACCTCATTTCATCTCATCATTTCATTTCATCTCATTTCATCTCTTTTCATCTCATTTCATCTCATCATCTCATCAACTCTTTTCATCTTATCTCATTTCATCATTTCATCTCATCTCGTATCTTCTCATCTCATTTCGATTTCATTATTTCATTTATTTCATGTCATCTCATCTCATCATTTCATCTCATCATTTCATCTCATCACATCTCATTTCATCATTTTATTTCATCATCTCATCATTTCATCTCATCTCATTTCAATTTTATTTCAATTTCATTTCATTATTTCATTTCATTTCATCAGTTCATCTCACCATTTCATTTCATCATCTCATCTCATCATTTCATCATTCATCTCATCATTTCATCTCATCATTCATCTCATCATTTCATATCATCATTTTATCTCATTTCATCTCATTTCATCTCATCTCATTCCATCATTACATCTCATTTCATCTCATTTTATGTCATCATTTCATGTCATCATTTCATCACATCTCATCTCATTTCATCTCATCATTTCATCATTTCATCTCATTTCAACTCATTGCATCTCATCTCATCATTTCCATTATTCCATTTCATCATTTCATTCATTATGTCATTTCATCTCATCATATTTCATCTCATCTCATCATTTCATCTCATTTCATCTCATTTCATCTCATCATTTCATCTCATTTTATCTCATCTCATCATTTCATCATTTCATCTCATCATTTCTTCTCATCTCATCATTTCCATTTCATTTTCATTTCATTATGTTTCATCTCATTTCATTATTTCATTTCATTATGTCATTTCATTTCATCTCATTACATTTCATCTCATTTCATCTCATCATTTCATCCATCATTTCATTTCATTTCATCTCATGATTTTATCTCATCCAATCTCATTATCTCATTTCATCTCATTATTTCATCTCATTTTATCTCATCTCATTTCATCATTTCATTTCATCATTACATCTCATCATGTCAAATCATCTCATTTCAATTTCATTTCAATTTCATCATTACATTTCATAATTTCCTTTCATTACTTCATTTCATTTCATCTCATTTCATTATTTCATTTCATCTCATTTTTCATCTCATCATTTTTCATCTCATTTCATCTCATCATTTCATCTCATCGTTCATCTCATTTCATCTCATCATTTTATCTCATTATTTCACCTCATCTCATCTCATTTCAATTTCATTATTTCATATCATTTCATTATTTCATTTCATTTCATCTCATCATTTCATCTCATCATTTCATCCATCATCTCATCATTTCATCTCATTTTATCTCATCTCATCTCCTTTCAATTTCTTTTCAATTTTGTCATTTCGTCTCATCATTTCATCTCATTTCTACTCACCATTTCATCTCAAAATTTCATCTCATCATCTCATCTCATCTCATTTCATCATTTCATCTCATCATTTCATCTCATCTCAAGTCATCTTATCATTTCATCTAAGTGAAATGATGTAATGGAATCATGAAATGAAATGGATAGGATGCCCTCAGTGATGTTAAATTTAAAAATTGTTTCTTTTCATGTATGCATTTTTATATTTATATGTATTTATATTTATATTTACTTATATTTATTTTTACTTATTTTTATTTATATTTTTACTTATTTCTTTATTTATAGACAAGGTCCTGTTCTGTGGCCTAGGCTGGAATGCAGTGGTGCATTCACAGTTCACTGCAGCCTCGAGCAAACCTCCCACCTTAGCCTCCCAGGTAGCTGGGACCCCAGGTGCGCACCACCACACCTGGTTAATATTTTATTATTTGCAGAGATGGAGTCTTGCTATTCTGCCCAGGCTGGTCTCAAACTCCTGGGCTCAAGCAATCCTCCTGCATTGGCAACCCAAAATGCTGGGATGACAGATATGAGCCACAGTGCCCAAACTATTTATTTATTTATTTATTTATTTATTTATTTAACAAAGACAAGGTCTCACTATGTTGCCCAGGCTGATCAACTCCTGGACTCAAATGATTCTCCAAACTTGGCCTCTCAAAATGTTGGGATTACAGGTATGAGCCACCATGCCTGGCCTAAAAATAGTATTATATTTTTGTATCATATAATTTTCAATTAGGTAATATGAATATTCTGGACAGGAAATACACCCTTAATAACATAGGAATAAACATTTGTTACACTGAGAAAAATCTAATAGAGCTAAAATTAAAAATTAATTTGGAAAGGTCATTAGATACTGATACATTCTTACATTTATACATTCTTTCATATATTCATATATCCTTTTAACAGTATCAACGGTTTGGAGTTATGTGTACAAAACCATGACCTATATGTAATACAACCAATAACAGGCACTTACAATTCAAGGCATATTATATACAAAGCTTTAACTTCTTATCAAAATATTTTGTTTTCTTCTTTCTGTTTTGGCAGATACTATGAACACAACATTCAACTCACAGACACCATGGAGCTTTACTAAGCATAAAGTACTGTGAAAGGCCAGGGCTAGGACAGAACTGAGACAGGTCCAGGGATAGGACAGAACTGGGGCAGGGTCATGGCCAGAGAAAAACCAGGGGCAGGGTCACAGCCAGGGACATGAGAGGACCAAGGCCAGGGCCAGAAGCAGGGCAGAACCAGGGCCAGGGCAGGGACATGGCAGGGCCAGGGCCATGGCAGGATCAGGGTCAGCAGAAGGCCAGGGCAGGGCTAGGGTAGCACAGGGCCAAGGCAGGGCAGGGCCAGTGGAGAGCAAGGAACAGGCCAGGGTATGGCAGGGCAGGGACAGGGAGGTCCAGGGCCAGAGTCAGGTCCAGGACATGGACAGGGCAGGGCCAGAAACATGGCAGGACCAGAAAGGGGACAGGGCAAGGGCAAGGCCAGAGAAGGACCATGGAAAAAACATGGCCAGGGAGGGTCCAGGGCAAGGGCAAGGCCAGGGCAGAACCAGAGCCAGAGCAGGCCAAAGGCAGGGCCAGGGTAGGGTGGGGCCAGTGTAGGGTGAGGGTAGGGCCAGGGCGAGTTCAGGGCCAGGGCAGGACTAAGATAGCACAGGGCTAAGGCAGGGCCAGGGCAGGGCCAAAAGGAGGGGCCAGGGCCAAGCATGGCCAGTGTCAGACCTGGGGATTGTCAGGGCCAGGGTCAGGGTCAAGGCTGGGCCAGGGACAGGGCCAGAGCAAGGGCAGGGCCAGGGAGAAAGCAGAACCAGAGAGGATCCAGAGCAAGGCCAGGGTCAGGGCAGAACCAGGACCAGGATAAGGCAAAGCCAAGGCCAGGGTAGGGCAAGGCCAGGGCAGGGCAAGATCAGGGAAGGGCAAGGCCAGGGTAGAAAAGGCCAGGGTAGGGCCAGGCCAGGGTAGGAGAAGGCCATGGTAGGGCCAAGGCCAAGGCAGGGCAGGGCTAGGGTAGCACAGGGCATGGCCAAAAACAGAGCAGGGCCATAGCAGTGGCAGGACTAGCAACAGGGCTAGGGCAAGCGCTGGACCAGAGCATGGTGGGGACAATACAGGGCCAGGACAGAGGATGGCAAGGCAGGTCCAGGGCCATTTCATGGACTCAGTAGGCCTGGGGTCAGGCCAGGGCAGGGCAAAGGCAAGGCCAGGGAGAAGGCAGGGCCGGGGCCAAGGCAGTGCCAGGGCAGGGCAGGACCAGTGCAGGGCCAATGCAGGGTGAGGGCAAGGCCAGGGCACGGAAGGGCAGGGCAGGACCAAGGAAGGGCCAGGAGAGGGCCACGGCAGGGTCATGGCCAGAACAAGGGTATGGCTGGGGTCAGGAATATGGTAGGATGAGGGCTGGGCCCAGGCTGAGGCACGCAGGGCAGAGCATGGCCTGTGCGACGCATGGCCAGAGCCAGGCCATAGAGATGGGAGGGCAACACCAAGGCAGAGTCAGGGTAGATCCAGGGCTGAGCAGAGTCAGGGCAGGTCCAGAGTCGAGGCAGAGCTAGGGCCCAAGCAGGGCCATGGCAGCACCAGGGCAGAGGAGGGCAGGGCAATGCAGGACTGGGCCATGGCAGTGCCTGGTCAACTCCAGGGCAGGGCCAGAAGCAGGACAGGGCCAGGGCCAATGCTCAGGCCAGGGACAGGGCATGACAGGACGTGCCAGAGCAGGGCTGGGCCAACGTTGGGGCAGGGCAAATCAGACCAGGACACCTCCAAGTCCAGCTCTGGCCCTGCCTTGGCCCTGGCCCCTTCCTGGCCTGACCTTGTCCCTGGCCCTGCCCTATCCATGCCCTGTGTGTTTGACCAGTGTTTTATAACCAGAATCCTACAAGAAACTTAAATTAGTTCTTTTTGTGCATTTTTAGTAGGGATGGGGTTTCACAATGTTGCCCAGGCTGGTTCCAAACTCCTGAGCTCAAGCCATCTGCCTGCCTTGGCCTCCCAAAGTGCTGGGATTACAGGAGTAATCTGGCCAAGTATTTAACTTCTTTATGCCTGTTTCCTACATTTGGAAAATGGGGATGCTTTAAGTACCTAGCATATAGAATTATTATGAGAATCAATGCCTCACATATTTACATGTTGATAAAATTATACTCATAGGACACTACTGGAAGCAAAGATAATATTAGTTAAAATTTAGTGATTACTGCAAATATCATTACTATTACAAACAACATAGTATAGACATTACTACTACTATAGTTATCTTAAAAATCTAAAATAAAAATTTTACGTAATAGCCTAAAGTAATCTCTCCTGCTCTGCCCTGGCTCAGCCCTAGTGCCGGCTCTGCCCCTAGTCCTACTACATCCCTGGCCCTGACCCTTCCCTGGTCCAGCCACTGCCCTGGCCCTTCCCATCTTCAGGCCTTACCATGGCCCTACCCTGGTCCTGAACCTGCCCTGGTCTGGTCCTGACCCTGGCCCTACCCCAGAGAAGGGGTATGGCAGAGCCAGGGAAGGGCCGGGGCAAATAAGGGACAGGACACATCCAAATCCAGGAAAGGGCCAGGGCCATGACAGAGCCAGGGCGAGTCCTTGGCAGGGCCAGGTTCCAGGCCAGGACCAGGAAAGGGTCATGGCAGGGTCACTGTATGGCCAAGGTCCAGGCCAAAGCCAAGGCAGTGGCAGGGTCAGGTCTGCATAAGGGCAGGACCAGAGCCAGTGATACGGCAGGGCCAGGGCCAGGGCCAGGACTGTGTCAGGACAGAACCAGAGCAGAGCAGGGCAGGACCACAGCCAGGCCATAGAGAGAGTAGGGCAAATGCCAAGGCAATGCCAGGGTAGTGCCAGGGCTGAGGCAAGGTCAGGGAAGGTCCAGGGCTGAGTCGAGGCTAGAACCAAGACAGGGGCAAAGGCCGGGGCAGATCTAGGGCACAAGCGGGGCAGGCTAGGGCAGGGCAATGGCAAGACCAGGCCATGGCAGGGCCAGCCCAGGATAGAACAGGGCACAGGCAGGGCAGGGGCAGGGCCAGGGCCACGGCTGGGGCAGGACAAGGACCAGGACTGGGGTCCAGGCCAGGGCAAGGGTATGGCCAGGGCAGAGGTAGGGCCAGAGCCAGGGTCTGAGCAGGACCAAGGCAGTCTATTGCAGGGCCAGGGTTCAGACCAGGGCCAGAGCAGGGCTGGGACAGGGCCAGGGCCAGAACCAGGAAAGGGCAATGTCAGGACAAGGGCCATGGCAGGACCAGCAACGGGGCTAGGACCAGGACAGGGACAGGGACAGGGTCAGGGCTAGGGCCAGAATAGCATGCCAGGGTAGAGCCAGGCCAAATTAGGGCCAGGACAGGGTCAGGACCAGGGCTGGGCCAGGGTATGGCCTTAAGTAGTGAAGGGCCAGGGCCAGGGCCAGGGCCCATGCCAGTGCCAGCGCCGGTCCAGGGCAGACGCAGGGCCATGGCCAGGTCTAGGACAAGGCTGGGGCAGGGCCAAGGTCTGGGTCAGGGTCAGCACAAGACCAGGACAGAGCCAGGGGAGGGACAGGGCCATGGTAGGGCCAGGTTAAATCAGGGACAAGACACCTGCAAATCCACTTCAGGGCCAGGGTCAGGGCAGGGCCAGTTCAGGGCCAGGGCCAAGACAGGGCCAGGGTCAGGGCTGCCAGGGTCATTGGCAGGGCCAGGGCCATGGCAGGACCGGGGTCAGGAGCAGGGGTCAATGCCAGGCCAAGGCCACAGATAGGACCAGGTCTGTGCTAGGGCCAGTGTGAGGGCCAAGGTGGGGTCAGGGCAGGGCCAAAGGGAGGGCAGGGCCAGGGCAGGGTGGAGCAGGCCCAGGGTAGCACAGGGTTAAGGTAGGGCACGACCAACCAGGGCAGGTCTATGGCTGGGGCCGGGGCAGGGCCAGAGCCAGGGCACGGCCAAGACAGTGGCAGCTCCAGGACAGGGCCAGGGTTAGGACCACAGACATGTCCAAGGCCAGTGCCAGGGCAAGGGCAAGGGCAGGGGCAGGGCCAGGGTCATCTAAGAATTAGGGACAAAGCCAGGCCCAGAGCTGGGCCAGGACCGGTACCTGGCAGGGCTAGGGTCTGAGACAGGGCCACGGCAGGGCCAGGGCCACAACCAGGTCTGTGCTATGGCCAGGTCCAACACAGTGCCCAGGTAAGGCTAGGGTGAAGGCCAAGGTAGGGCCAGGGCAGGGTCAAAGCCAGGCTAGGGCCAAGGCAGGGCCAGGGCCGGCAAGGCAGGGCCAGGAAAGCATAGGGCCAGGGCAGGGCAGGGCCAGGCCAGTGCCAAGACCTGGGCAGGGCCAGGGCCAGGGCCATAGAAACGGCCTGGGCAGGACCAGGGTTGGGGCAGGAGCAAAACAAGGGCAAGGACAGTACAGGTTCTTGGCACAGCCAGGGTCCAGGACAGTGTCAGGGCAGGGCCAAGGCAGGGTCTGGGCCACGGTAAGACCAGCAACAGGGCTGGGGCTGGGTCAGTGACAGGACCAGAGTCAGGGCAAGGGCCAGAGCAGTGCAAGGCCAGGGTAGGGCCAGGCATTTCAGGGTCAGGGCCATGGGAGAACCAGGGCAAGGTCTCAAGCAGGGAAGGGCCAGGGCCAGGACAGGTCCAGGGCAGGGCCACGACAGGACCAGGGGCTGCATTAGGGCAAGGGCAGGGCCAGAGCAAGGTAAGGGTCAGGGCCAAGGCTAGGGTACGGACAGGGCAAGAAATATGGCAGGACCAGGGGCAATGCCAAGGCCAAGGCTGAGTCAGGGCTGAGTCAGGGCAGGGCAGGGCAGGGCATGGTATGGCCAGTGCAGGACAGGACAAGAGCCGGTCCACAGAGAGAGCAGGGCTGATGCCAAGAAAGAGCCAGGCTAGTGCCAAGGCTGAGGCAGTGTCAGAGCATGTCCAGGGCAGGGCCGGGGCCGGGGCCAGAACTGAGCCAGGGCACAGCCAAGGCAGGGTAGGGCAGGGAAATAGCATGGCCGGGTCAGTACTGGGACAGGGCAGAGCAGGGCAAGGCGATGGTAGGGGCAGGGCAGAGACAGGCCAATGCAGAGCCATGTTACACAGGGGCCAGGACAGCTCCAAGTCCACTTCAGGGCCAAGGCTATGGCAGGACAAAGACCAGGGCCAGGGTCAGAGCCAGGTCTGTGCTGGGCCTAGCGAAGACTAGGGTGAGGGCCAAGGTAAGGCCAGGGCAGGGTCAAAGGCAGAGTAGGGCCAGGGCAGGGTGATGACACACCCGGAGCACAGCAGGGCAGGGTGATGGCAAGACCAGGGGCAGACCACTGCCAGCTCAGGGCCAGGGAAAGGCCAGTGCAGAGCCAGGAAAGGGTCTGGGTCTGGGTCAGGGCCAGGAACAAGGCAGAGCAGGGCCAGGGCCATGGCAGAGTCAGGGCAGGTCCTTGACAGGACCAGGTTCCAGGCCAGGGCCAGGGCAGCAGCAGGGGCAGGGCCTGGATAAGGGCAGGGCCAGGGATATGGCAGGACCAGGGCTAGGGCCAGGGCCAGGCCATAGTGAGGGCAGGGCAAAAGCCAAGGCAGGGTCAGGGCAGGTCCAGGGCAGGTCCAGGGAGCGGCCAGCACCAAGCGGGGCCAAGGCACAACCAGCGCAAGGTAAAGCAGGGCAATGGCACCACTGGGCCATGACAGGGCAAAGTCGTGCCAGGAGAGGGCAGAACAGGCAGGCCCATGGTGGGGCCAGGGCAGGGATGGGCCAAAGCAGGGCCAGGACATTTACAAGGCCAGGTCAGGGCCAGAACAGGAGCAGGACCATGACCATTGGCAGGGCCAGTGCCATGACAGGACCAGGGTCAGGACAAGGGGCAGGGCCAGAGCCAGGGCCAGAGCCAAGGTCAGGCCAGTGCAGGATCGGGGCAGGGCCAGTGCCAGGGCAAGACCAGGGCAGGGACAGGGTAGCACGGGGCCAAGACAGGGACAGGATGGGACCAGAGCAGGACAGGGCCGAGAGTCCAGGTAACAGTAGGGCAGGTACAGGGCAAGGCAGGGCAGTACAGGGCCAGATCCACGGCAGGCACAGGGCAAAGCCAGGCCCATTGCCAATGCACCAGCCCTCCCTACAAGGCTCCTACCACCTGGCCACTGCTGCAGCCCGTCCATCGCTGTAAGCCTGACTCCCAACCCTGCCTGCAGCCGCCTGCCCTCCTAGCACGGCCGCTCTCCTACCGTTCTGGTGCACTGCAGTCTCCGTCACTGCCACCCACCCGCAGCGAGGCGAGCCGTGGTGTTGCACGCTCTAGGTGTCTCCTCCTCCTCCTGGCACGGAGCAGCTGGGTGGGCAAAGCCAGAAAAG
Organism: Homo sapiens; assembly: GCF_000001405.40. NCBI lineage: Eukaryota > Metazoa > Chordata > Mammalia > Primates > Hominidae > Homo > Homo sapiens. The sequence goes on along the minus strand of NC_000002.12, from coordinate 94,211,847 downwards.
CCTAGAGGAAGTTGTGAGGAGTGGAAGCGTTAGAGCCTCAACTTGTCATGCTGGCCACTGGGTGGCAGGGGCCAGTTTCAGCAAAGGCACTCACACCCACCCTCCAAAGTCCAGCCTCTCCTTTTGGCCCAAGCTGGCCGGGAACTGGGGTCTGGGGTGGGTGCTGGAGACACCACAGCACCCAGCTCCCCACTCCACAGGAACCATTGGGCCCACCGGGGCTGCACTCCTCGGGGAACAGGAGAAGCAGACAAATTCAGACCCAGCCAGCCCTCCGCACCCAGGTGCCAATTCCTGTTCCGGACGCCTCCACACACAGGGCCCAGTCCCCCGTGGTGTCCCCAGGGGTGCCTGGCAGCCTCTGAGGCACAGACCCAGAGTGCACAGGCCCAGGAACCACGGTGGGTGTGGGGGCTCTGCCATGCTCAGGATTCCCATGCAAACGCTGCATGCCCTGCCGCACTCCAGTATGACCAAGAGTGGTTCGCCCTCTGGAGTGTGGAGTCAGGGAGAGGAGAACCACTCCTTCCTTGGATGCCAACTCTGTTGACTGCTGCCAGCAGTGCAGCCCCTGATAGCACCGAACTCGCCCCCGCTCCACGGCTAGTCCTGCCCTCAATAGCGCCCCTCACCTCCGTCCCCCAATGCCGCCAGTAGCGTATACCCGATATGCCCTAACCTGTCCTCCTCCATGGGCGTTGCAGCCCCAGAAAGCACCCATAACCCACCCTCCCTGCCGTGGGCAGTGCAGCCCTGTGCAGTGCTACCAACCAGTACCCCTAATGCAGGCAATGACACCCTGGATAGCGCCCCCAACCCACCCCACACTGTGAAAGGTGCAGCCCTGGATAGCCCCTGTCCTACCACTCTGGTCATGCTGCAGTCTCTGTCACCGCCACCACCAACTACAGTGAGGCAAGCCAGTGGGCCGCAGGCTCTAGCTCCCAGCAGCCAGGCATGGAGCAGCTCTCGCTGATGGCCGGCTCCTACCACTCTGACCACGCTGCTGTCTGTCTCCGTGGCCATCTTCTTTCACTGCAAAGGAATAAAACTAGGTATCAATAAGAAAAGTAATTTTGGAAACAATACAATCACATGGAAGTTAAACACTACCCTCCTGAATAAATGACTAGCTGGTCAATGAAGATACTAAGACAGAAATTCAAAAATTTCATGAAACAAAGGGTAATGAAAACACAGTATACCAAAACTTGTTACGCAGAAAGCAGTACAAAGGCAGAGATTTACAGCTATAAGTGCCTACTATCCAAACAAAAGAAAAACTTCAAATAAACAATACATCTTAAAGAACTAGTAAAGTAAGAACAAACTAAACCGAAAATAAGAAAACAAATAAGATCGTAGCAGAAACAAAATTGAAATAAAAAACACACAAGATTAAACGAAAAGTTGGTTTTCTGGAAAGCTAAACAAAATTGACAAACTTTTAACCAGCCTAAGAAAAGAGACAAGATTCAAATAAATAAAATCAACAGATTAAAAAAAGGAGACATTACAACTAATACTTCAGAAATTCAATGGATCATAACTGGCTATCATATGCCAATAAATTGGAAAGCCTAGCAGAAATTGGCAAATTCCTAGATGCATACAACCTACTTAGGTTAAACAATGAAAACATCCAAGACCAGAACAGATTGGTAACAAGTAATGAGATTGAAGCCATCAGAAAAAGTCTCCCAGTAAAGAAAAGCCCAGGAACTGATGTCTTCACTGCTGATGGCTTCACACCAAACAATTTAAAGACCTAGTACGAATCCTGCTCAAACTATTTTGAAAAACAGGAGGGAATACTTCCAAACTTATTCTATGAGACCATTATTACTGTGATACGAAAATCAGATAAAAGCATCAAAGAAGAAAACTACAGGCCAGGATCTCTAATATTGATGCAAAAATCCTCAACAAAATACCAGTGAATCAAATTCAGTAATACATTAAAAAGATAATTCATCATGATCAAGTGGGATGTATCCTTGGAATGCAAGAGTCACTCAACATATAATGTGATACATCATATCAACCAAATAAACGACAAAAACTGTATGATCATGTCAACTGAAACCGAAAAAGCATTTGATGAAATTCAACATCCCTTCATGCTATAAATCCTCAAAGAAACGGGCACAGAAGAAACATACCGCAACATAATAAAAACTACAGGAAAGACACCCACAGCTAGAATCATACGGAATGCGGAAAAATAGAAAGCTTTTCCTCTAAGATCTGGAACATGATAAGGATGCCCCCTGTCACCACTGTTGTTTAACATAGTACCAGAAATCCTAGCTAAAGCAATCAGTGCAGCCCCTGATATGGCCCCCAACCCACCCTGCCCCCTACCACCAGCAGTGTCGCCCCCCCCAATAGCACACCCAACATACCCTAACTGCCCCGCCTCCCCGCACCATGGGCATTACAGCACCCCATAGCGCCCTCAACCCCAAACCGCCACCCCCCCCACAGCCGCACAGTGCAGCCCCAGATAGCACACTTAACCCACCTCACTGTTGCCAGCAATACAGTCTGGGATAGTGCCCCCAACCGGCTCCCCGCCAAAGGCAGTGTAGCCCCGGTTTGAGCCCCCAAACCGCCCCCCCGCTGCAGGCAGCACAGCCTCAGATAGCACACCCAACCAGTCACCCAAGACGGGCAGTGACGCCTGAGATAGGGCTCCCAACCCGTCCCAGGCCACCAGCAGTGCAGCCTGGATAGCGCACTTACCCCGATGCCTTTTTCTACACTCTGGCTGGCTGCAGTGTCCATCGCTGCCACCAACCACAAACATGGCTGCAAACAGGAAGGATTTTATTCACCGTCGATGCGGCCCCGAGTTGTCCCAAAGCGAGGCAGTGCCCCAAGGTCTGTGCAGAGCAGAACGCAGCTCCGCCCTCGCAATGCTCTCCGGGTCTGTGCCGAGGAGAACGCAGCTCCGCCCTTGCAAAAGCACACAGCGCTGGTGCCGGCGTGGCGGAGAGGCGGACAGCGGCGGAGAGGCGGCCAGCGTTGGCGCGGCGGAGAGGCGGCCAGCGGCGGCGCGGCGGAGAGGCGGCCAGCGGCGGCGCGGCGGAGAGGCGGCCAGCGGCGGAGAGGCGGCCAGCGTTGGCGCGGCGGAGAGGCGGCCAGCGGCGGCGCGGCGGAGAGGCGGACAGCGGCGGAGAGGCGGATAGCGGCGGCGCAGCGGAGAGTCGGTCAGCGGCGGCGCGGCGGAGAGGCCGACAGCGGCGGCGCGGTGGAGAGGCGGACAGCGGCGGCGCGGCGGAGAGGCGGACAGCGGCGGCGCGGCGGAGAGGCGGACAGCGGCGGAGAGGCGGATAGCGGCGGCGCAGCGGAGAGTCGGTCAGCGGCGGCGCGGCGGAGAGGCCGACAGCGGCGGCGCGGTGGAGAGGCGGACAGCGGCGGAGAGGCGCACAGCGGCGGAGAGGCGCACAGCGGCGGCGCAGGCGCGGAGAGGCGCACAGCGCAGGCGCTGGCGCGGAGAGGCGCAGGCCCAGGTCCACTCCCCAGCTGTGAAAGGGTAAGAGCTGAGGGTGGCTGAGACTCGGGGTTGTTCAGGGCGGGGTGGGCTCTGGACCCAGGAGGCCTGGCACCCAGGTCAGGGCTCCAGGGGAGGCCAGATGGGCGAAGGCCAAGAAGGGGCCGGGGCTGGTCAGGAAGGGCTCCTGGTGACCAGAGCACTTTGCGTGAGCCAGCGTGGGAGGAAGGTGGGCTGGATGAGCCAGGGAGGTGCCAGGAGGGGCCTTGGCAGAGGCGACCACCTCCGTCAGCCCCCAGGCCACTGAACCCTGGGTAGCGAGAACCGACAGGGGAGGCTGCAGACAGAGGAGTGGAGGCTCCCCTGCTTTGGGGGCTCTGAGTAGAAGCATCTAGGGGGTCCCTCAAGAGGCCCCCAAACGCTTCCCCCGGTGAGAAAAGAAGGCGCAGAGAGGGGCACGGCGCCGGCGCCGGCTCAGGCTCAGAGGGGCGCACAGCAAGATTTGCTGTGATTTCTTTTATTGCCCCAAGCGTACCTCACCTTGGTAGATTTCTATTGGCTTTAAAAATGTGTGTGTTTTGCTGTTGGGGAGTGGGGTGTTATACGGATGTCAAATTTTGCTGGTTGACTGTTCAGATCTTTTGTAAATCCTTGCTCCTTTTCTGCCTAGTTTCACTCTGTCACTTACACTGGAGTGCGGTGGCACGAACATGACTCACTGCAGCCTTGACTTCCTAGGGTCAAGTACTTCCCCTGGCTTAACCTCCTGAGTAGCTGGTACTATAGGTGTGTGCCGGCACACCTGGCTAAATTTAAAATTTTTTGGAGAGATGAGGCCTTGCTATATTGCCCAGGCTCGAACTCCTGGCCTCAAGCTATCCTTTGTCTTTGCCTCCCAGAGTTCTGGGATTACAGGCATGAGCCACTGTGCCCGGCCTCTGCCTAGTTTTAACAGTTGCTAAGAGGAGGATGTTGAAGTAGATGTCTTCTTGGTGGGTTAATCCTTTTGTCATTAAGCAGTTGTTATGGTCACTTCCTTTTCACCCCATTGGTGAAGGAGGGGTCCCTGCCCTAAAGTGTAGGAGATGGCTGAACACGACACCTGGCGTGGATGGATGAGATTGACAGCAGTGTTTTAGTCACATATACCCACAGCTCAGAGGAGGACACTGCATGCCACACAGGGTCAGATGGGCACCGCACTCTGTAGCGGAGTGAGGGCTGGGGGCTGAGGAAGCAGGCAGGCTTGGTAGTAACAAGAGCACACGATGACCAATGGTTCCCGAGGGGGAGAGCAATTGGCTTGTTTGAATAAATTCATGGGCTGGCAGACAGGTGAAGTGAAACTTCTTAGGCTGAGGTGCAACTGTTCTGGCTGATAAAAGAACTAGCCAGGTGGGGAGCCTTTCCTGTTGGGTGGCGGGGTAGGGGGTGTCTGGTAAAAACAGGAAAACCCACAGCTAGGCCTTTGGGGCCCTGTGAGGCTCAAAGATGTCAAGGCAGCATAGGAAATTTTAGATCTTAAAATTCAGCGAAGACCCTCTCCAGCTCTGGTAAATTATTTTGCTTGAAGTCTACTTCATGAGATATTAATATATTCACTCCTGCTTCCTTAAAAAATTAATGATTTCACAGGATAACTTTCTCCATTCTTTTACTTTCAACCTACTTAGGTCCTTAAGTGAGTTTGAAGTTTCTTATGAACAGTATTTAGTTGGACCATGTGTTTATTATAGGCTCTCCATCAATCTGTCTTTTGGTTTATTTAGACCATTTACATTTAAGGTGCTTATTGTTACATAATTGCTTATGTCTGATGTTTTTATTATTTGCTTGTTTCCTTTTTCTTTCCCTCCATCTTGATCTATTTCTGTATAATGTTGTTGCGTGTATCTGTTTGTATAGTCTTAAAGTGTTTGCTCTGGATGTTACAATATGTGTATTGTAATATAGTAGTCTACTGGTACCAGTATTTACCACTTCAAAGTGTGGAAACCTGCCTTGGATTTATGTCTCTTTACCTTTTCCACTTGTATAAATCACTGGCTTGAGTAGTACGTGGTGGTATAGTTTTTGTTTCAGTCGTCAAATGTGATTTTAAGAACTGTGGATTGTCTCGTGTATGTATCCACATTTCTGGTCTTTCCTTTGTCCCTCCTCCCATAGTCCCATATTCATCCCTTCTGCATAAGAACTTTCTGTAGCCATTTTTTATTTTGATTTTTTGTTTTAATTTTTTGTATTGTGGAAATGACAGAACATATTTCTGTAGCCACTTTTTAGCATTTCTAAATTGACCAGTGACAAATTCCTATATTCTCTTCCTCTGAGAATGTCTATATTTCTCTCTTCATTTCTGAAGGGTAGTTTCATGGAATATAGAATTTGCAGCCAACAGTTTTTTTGTTTGGTTGGTTTTTTTAAGCACTTGAAAATGTTGTGCCACTTCCTTCTGGCCTCCATGGCATTTGAGTTGGCGTGTCCCTACAGGCATTCTGCCATTTTTGCTCTTTGTTTTTAGTTTTGAAAGTTTAATCAGTGTTGCTTTCTTTTGGTATACTTTGAGGTTTGCTCAGCTTCTTGAATCTGTAAGTTTATATCTTTCACCAAATGTGGGAAGCCTCAAGAATTAGTTATTTGCATGCTTTCGCAGCTCTGGTCTCCTGTGGGACTCAGATAACATAAATGTGGGGTCTTTTGTTATCGTCCCACAGGTCCGTGCAGCTCTGTTCATTTGTTTTCAGGTTATTTTCTCTCTATTGTTTAGACTGGGTGAATTCTGTTGATCAGGTTTCAGCTTCTCTGATTCTCTCCTCTGTCGTCTCCACTTTTACTCAATAGAGCCCATCCAGTTAGATTTTTTTAAAATTTCTGTTACTGTATTTTATATTTCTGTAATTTCCATTTGATTCTTCTTCAGTTTCTTTGCTGACGTTTTCAGTTCTTTGATTGTTGACATAGGATTTGTAGTTGCTTGTTGAGCATTTTTATACTGACTGTTATAAGTGATGAGTCAGGTGGTTCCAACATCTGCCTATGTAATTTTTTTATTTTTGCAGGCAGTCCTCCTGTTTAGGTTTAGTCTGTAGGTCTTGGTCTACTTTGTGGGCTGTGATTCCAATGGCAATTTAATTTCAGAGCCTTCATGGTGTTATTTTGGTCTGTTTGGCTAATATGTGTCACTGGGATTCTCCCACCAGTCCCTGCTGTTGCCCACCTGAGGGAACAGGGGAGCTGCCCCAGGCTGGGCCACCTGCTGCAGCTAGGTGGGTGGGGAGTGGTGGTTGTGTTGGTGTGTGGAGCTGGTTTTCTTGTTGTGGGGAAGATCTCCTTTGATCTGCGGGGACTGAGTCTGCCTGGGTTGCCTTCTATTGCTACGTTGGGAGTTGGGAAACTCTGGGCCTGGGTCACCGTCCTATTGGATGAGGTCCAGGGAGACACCTGGCCACTATGCATTCCCTAGTCCTAGAGTCCCTCAGCAGCCTTTTTCTGTCCACCTTTCGGAATTCTCCATTGATCATCTCCTGTCTATTATTTCTAGAGGAGGGTATAATGTGTTATCTTCTCTAGACCAGAAATCCTTAGTGGTGGTTTCGGGTTGTAACTGTGCTAAAGGGAGAATTGGCGTATTTGTGATGTCGAGTCTTCCTTTTCAAATGAGGACATACCATTATTCAGTATATAATATTTACAACATCTACTTCCTTGGGTTGAAGAATGTGGTTAAGGCAATGAAAGTACTTAACACAGTGCCTGGTGTGGAGAGCACTTACGAGTGTTGGTAGTGATGCTATTCCTTTTGTCCTTTGGTAGCATATTAAAGCTTTTCTTCTTTTTTAAATAAATAAAGTTCTGGTGCACTTCTTGTTAGGTTTATTCCTATTTTATCCTTTTTTGCTTTTATTACAAATAGGAGCTTCCTATCTTTTATAACATCTACCTGGTTCTTTGGCCCTTATGTGAAAATGTTTTAATAGCCTTCTAAACATTGCTCTCCCAAATGAGTTTTAACTTGCCTCTTTCTTTTGTTTTCCTTTTTTTGAGACAGGGTCTCACTTTGTCACCCAGGCTGGAGTTCAGTGATGCAATTATGGCTCACTGCAACCTCTGCCTCCCGGGCCCCCAAAGTGCTGGGTTTACAGGTGTGAGCCACTGCACCCAGCCTTACTTGTCTATTTCTTTTAAGAGTGGGAACTATAACTGAACCCAGAGCTCCAAAAACAAATGAAGGAATGAATGAGTGAATAAGCTCTTCCCATGGGTTTGGTGTGGTTTGGGGCTCTACTCTTAATCTAAATGCTATGTTTTATATGATCTAAAATTTCCCCTAGGTGTGTTACACGATCGTGTTGTGTTGAACTTACATTGAGACTCCTTTTCACATGTGCTGGTTATCAGCATGGGACTTTTCCATTCACTCTTTGAATTATTCATTTGGGGGACACAGATAGACCTCTGTGTCTTTCATAAAAAGTGTCCATTGGCCGGTTGCAGTGTCTCATGCCTGTAATCCCAGCACTTTGGGAGGCTGAGGAGGGCAGATCACGAGGTCAGGAGTTCAAGACCAGCCTGGCCAATATGGTGAAATCCCATCTCTACTAAAAATATAAAAATTAGCCAGGCCTGGTGGCGGGTGCCTATAATCCCAGCTACTCGGGAGACTGAGGCAGTAGAATTGCTTGAACCTGGGAGGCAGAGGTTGCAGTGAGCTGAGATCGTGCCACTGCACTCCAGCTTGAGTGACAGAGTGAGACTCCGTCTCCAAAAAAAAAAAAAAAAACAAAAACGAAAGAGTGTCCATTATCTATACTGGAAAAATTGAGATTGGGATTTTTGACATGAAGTGCGGAAATGTGGATTGGGTCAATTTAGTTTACCTAAACAGATGATGAAATACTGTTTTACGAAGCATTCCCTAGTGCAAAGTTTTGCCTGTGTGTCTAGTGACGGGAACAGTAAGAATGAGGCTTGGAACGCGGAGCGCATTGTGGGCCTGTCGTGGGTGGCGCCAGCAGCACATGCATGCCTGGCTCACAGAGCAGCCTTTGGGTGTTCTTTTCCCAGAGGAGCTCTACGGTGACTTTGAAGACTTGGAAACAGGGGACATGCACAAGGGAAAATCGGGCCCCGACACTCAGGTATGACTTTGTCGTAGCTGGCTGTTCTTGGTCATTGTGTTCTGAGAGAGGCCCACATTGAGAAATGCAAATCTTACTTGTGATGTGTGAAGATTGCAGACTGGATGGATAGATTCCTTCCTAAAGGGTGGGGATGTGGGGACCAAAGAGAAGCTTTCTTGTTTACTTGTTAAGTTTTGGACGACAGTTACTACTGTTTCTTGCCATAGTCATTTGCCAAGACTACTGTGATTTTTCACTCACAGAAGTCTTAGCTTCTCAGACTTACATTCAACCATTGCCATCATTCTCCTCTTTTTAAATTTAAGTGTCATTTAAAAGAATGAAGTTCCTGTTCTCCCTAATATTTCTTTAGAACAGGGTCTGGGAGCATCTGGGTGAGGGACATGTCTGTTATTTTTATTCTAGTTTGTGTTCCCAGCCAGCTTAAGGAATAGCAGCTAATTGTAATGCAGATGTAACAATTTCCTGTAGCAGTACCATGTTATTCAGAGACAAAGATTATGTTGTGTTTTGTTTTGTTTTATTGATAACGATAACAGATTTTTGCTAAGATTTTTGTTTAAATAGAACTTTAAAAAATGTAATGTTTAAAGAAAAGACCTTCATAAACATACACAAAATTTTTTCTTCTGGAAATTTAAGAATGAAGATATAGAGAAACAAGGAAGAAATTGACCCCGACGAAGAAGAAAGTGCCAAGAAAAAGCATTTGGATAAGAAGAGAAAATTGAAGGAGATGTTTGATGCGGAATATGATGAAGGAGAAAGCACATATTTTGATGATCTTAAAGGAGAAATGCAGAAAGAAGCACAGGTGAGAAACCTCAGTTCCTCTCAGCCCCTTGTCAAGACTATCACATAGTGCAGGAATCCCTGACTGTCTTTGGGTCCCTGCTTCCTATCCTGCTTCTGTGCCTTTCATTTGGACTCCTGGGTAGATGCATGTGAGTATGTTTATTCATGCAGTGAGCTCATTGTTTCTACAGTCAGAAGATCACCAGAAAAAGATCCATACCTATTTTGTAACAAGAATTAGGAAACCGAAATGACTGAGACATGGTCTCTACTTTTGAGACTTTTACAATGTAGTGATCTGAGACAGTGTGTTCATTTCAGTGCAAGCCAATGCTGCCTATTCCGATCGCTGCTCCCTGATTTGAATGGCAGGTGATCAGTGGCCCGTGTGGCTTATGGACACACCAGAGCTCCCAGGGGAAGTGCTCTGAAAACTCATCCTGGTCAGAGTTCAGAAGGACACGTGGAGTATAAGGTCAGATGCGGAGATAAAGGGAGATGGTGTGGCCCTCCTGCCTGGGGTTGCTGAGCAGGTTGCTGGAGACAGTGATGTCACTCTGAAGGAGACAGACACAGAAACGTGTGTACAGTTGATGGTGAGCATCTGAGTTGCGTCTTGTTAGTGAGGCCAGGAGTGCCTGTGTAAGCTGGAACAGATTAGGTATATGATTTGTGAAACGGAGTTTCATCCTAGATCTTCATCTAGTCAAAGGACTGTTTCCTGATTAGGCATTAGCTTAGTGGTTGCTAGTCTGTGTTGACCTTTGAAAGGCATGACTAGGCTAACTCTGAAGTTTTTGCTTCACACCATTTACAATTTAAAATTACCTAGAGCCTTGTGGGCCATTGGAAAAGACTGAATGTTTCACTCTGAAATGGGAGTCCTTGGAGGGTTTTGAGCAGAGGAGAGACATTCTGGTAATCAGATCACTCTGCCAAGACATCAGTCTGGTAGAGATCAGTCCGGTGGCACAAACCAGAGGGCTGGCAGTGGAGATGAGACAAAGAGTCAAACGCGGATAGAGTTTATTTGGAAGCTGGGTCAGTAGGATTTCCTGGTGGACTGAATGTGGGGTGTGTGAGAGGAAATGAGGATGGCGACTGGAAGTTCCTGGAAGGATGGGTTGTTGCAGGTTAGATAGGAAACTGTCTGCAGATGCAGTTTTGGGAAGATGATGTTTGGTTCGGCTGGGTATCATGCAGACAAGCGGAGTGTCAAGTCTGGAGAGACAGGTCTGGCCAGGGACTTAGATGTACAGCCCTCAGCATGTAGATGCCACTTAACTCTGTGAGGTGGCCGGGGAGTGAGTGCAGAGTGACTGGGAGGAGGAAGACTGGCATGGGCGAGATGGGGCGATTGCGGCCGTGAGGCCTGAGCAGTGCCTAGGAGGGAGAGGGAGAAGCAGTGTGAGCATGCAGGCACGCAGGAGTCCAGTTGTACACGGAGGCGAAGCACTGTTCAGATCCCGCTGCAGTGTTAACTACGGTAAAGGCAGAGTTGACCACTGGAGGAGTCCTTCAGCGTGGAGGCCTTCAGCGATCTTGGCAAACACCAATTTTCATGGATGTAGGAGAATGGGAGCAGAGGAACTGGAGGCTGCAACTGTGGAAAACTTTTGTGGGGTTTTGCTGCAGAGAGAAGCAGAGAAATGAAGCAGTTTTTGGTGGAAGAAGTGGAATCAAAAGGTTTTGAGGTAAGAGAGAGAACAGAGGGAAGAGCTGTTGGAATGAAGTCCAGGAAGAGTGGATGGTGTCTAGTGTGCAAGTGATGTGTGGCCCTGAGTAGAGGCATGGACAAATCATCTGTGCCTGAGCTGCCCGTAGAACTTTCTGTGATCATGGAGATGCACGTCTGTGCTTCCCAATATTGTAACACTGGCCGCAAGTTGATATGGACCACTTCCAGTGTGACTAGTGTGATTGAGGAACTGCATTTTAAATATTATGTAATTGTAATTAATTTTAATTTAAATAGCCACACATAGCTCCTCTATGGGCCAGGTCAGAGCTCTGATAAGGCTGGATATGGGAGGAAACCCTGGTAGAGGGTTGACCTTAGAGGTTCTTTTGGTTTTGGAGTGAATCAGGAAACAGCCATCAGCTGAGTGAAGGTGAGGGTGGTGGTGGGTGTTTGAAGACAAGGGAAAAGTGTGAAAGAATTATTTGGAGAGGAAGGAAAGAAAGTGTGGACTGGGGATGTTTCCAATGTTCGAGCACGCAGGGCTCCACAGTTATCTACATTTGCTGTCCCTTGGAGCAGGAGAGAAGAAAATGGTTGGGACATATTCTGAACAGACTGTAGAGGTAAAATGTGTAGGTTTTTTTTGTTTTTTTGTTTTTTGAGATGGAATCTCGCTCTATTGCCCAGGCTGGAGTGCAGTGGCACGATCTTGACTCACTGCAACCTCCGTCTCCCAGGTTCAAGCGATTCTCTCACCTCTGCCTCCTGAGTAGTTGGGACTACAGGCACGCACCACCATGCCCAGCTGATTTTGGTATTTTTAGTAGAGACAGGGTTTCACCATGTTGGCGAGGCTGGTTTCAAACTCCTGACCTCATGTGATCTGCCCGCCTCGGCCTCCCAAAGTGCTGGGATTACAGGCATGAGCCACTGTACCCGGCCAAATGTGTAGTATTTTTAATAGGATAAAGCCTACATAATTCTGTCCACAGTTCCTTTACTTAGAAATTGCTTATTTGTTCATGTTAATCCTATGTTTATTACAAATAACAGCATACAGGTTTCTCCCCCCTCCCCCCACCCCGTCATGTACAGCTGAATCACGTAGAATTTGAAGATCAAGATGATGAAGCCAGAGTTCAGTATGATGGTTTTCGACCTGGGATGTACGTCCGCGTTGAGATTGAAAATGTTCCCTGTGAATTTGTGCAGAACTTTGACCCCCATTACCCCATTATCCTGGGTGGCTTGGGCAACAGCGAGGGAAATGTTGGACACGTGCAGGTGGGTCCCTTTGCTGCATATTTGGTGCCTGAGGCTCTGTGGATTTCCCCTCCATCAGTCATCTTACCCTCTCATCCCCCTCAGATGCGTCTGAAGAAACATCGCTGGTATAAGAAAATCCTCAAGTCCCAAGATCCAATCATATTTTCTGTAGGGTGGAGGAGGTTTCAGACCATCCTGCTCTATTATATTGAAGACCACAATGGAAGACAAAGGCTTCTAAAGTATACCCCACAGCACATGCATTGTGGAGCAGCCTTTTGGGGTAAAATATGATTACAATAACTTGCCTATTGCCGAGATTAAACTTTACAGGCTGCGTTATTTTAGCTTTGTGCTTTTCCTTTCATAAAATTCCACTCCTAAGATGTTTCTGTTTTCTGGGAGCGGGGAGGTGGTTTGGAGTATATATGTAAATCTATATCCAAATCTAAATGTCCGTATCCAGTATGTTAAACTAGAATCTAAAATTTCTGGTTTGCTATATTTCTTTTTTTCCTTTTCCTTTAAGACCCTATCACTCCACAGGGAACTGGTTTCTTGGCAATACAGTCTGTCAGTGGCATAATGGTAACTATCTTGGACAATTTCTTTTACAGATTGGTTTGAGAAATATATCCTGAATGTGGGTTATTATGTACATGAGACTTTAAGTTGAAAATTACTCATTTTTATTATTATAAAGTAAATTTCCCTTTGCTTTTAATCTTTGTACATCCTTTTCAGTAGGGTGTGGGATTAGAGGAGGGGAGGTGGAAGAATTATAATGGTACATTTCCTATTTTTGTGCATCTTTTGCATTTATTTATCTAAGCAAGTATTTAAGCAGTGCTCACCGTGTGCTAAGCACTATATGAGGTTATGAGGAGCCATCAGAGACCACCCAGACACAAGACTCCCTGCAGCTGTGCTGGGGTAGCAGTCTGTTCACTCCATTTTCATTTGACCAGTCAGGCAGGGCAGGGTTTACTGGTCCCATTTAACAGAGAAGAAAGCAGAATAATGAGCAGATGGAATCTTCCCTGGAGGTCCAAATTTTAATTTTCTAAACATTGCAACTGTATTTTTCTTTTCCATTTCGTTCCAAATAAATCATTATAGTAAAATTACATTCCTCTGAAATCACTCTCAGGAAAGTACTCAAGTAGCCTTTTTTTTTCTTTTTTCTTTTTCTTTTCTTTTTTTTTTTTTTTTTTTTTTTGAGACAGAGTCGCACTCCGTCATCCAGGCTGGAGTGCAGTGGCACGATCTTGGCTCGCTGCAACCTCTGCCTCCTGGGTTTAAGTGGTTCTCCTGCCTCGGCCTCCCGAGTAGCTGGGATTACAGGTGTGCACCATCATGCCGAGCTAATTTTTGTATTTTTAGTAGAGATGGAATTTTGCCATGTTGGCCAGACTGGTTTCAAACTTCTGACCTCAGGTGATCCACCTGCCTTGGCCTCCCAAAGTGCTGGGATTACAGGTATGAGCCACTGTGCCTGGCCTCAAGTCACCCTTGTTAGTTTGGCTTACCAACTTTAAAGTTTTGGATTGCTTTTGTCAAACCACTGGGTTGCAAGTTCAGATGGTCTCTCTTGTTTTTCTTAGCTAATTGTAAGTAAAGTTCACTTTGGTAATTTATTGTGTTACATAGAATTGAAGTTTTTCTCTTGCTAATATTATTCCTATTTTCAAATTTTGGGGCTCCTGTTAGCCTGATTTTCGGATAGCTGCCACAGGAGTTGTCCTTGATCTGGATAAATCCATAAAAATTGTGAAGAAATTAAAGCTAACTGGTTTTCCATATAAAATTTTCAAGAACACTTCATTTATTAAGGTCTGTATATCTATATATTCTCATATTTATAAATGTCCATATTGTTTGAGAAAAGGAATGAAATACCTCTAAAATGTGGGCCTCATATTTTTAGAAAAGTGTTTGAAATCTTTTATAAACTTCATATTTTGTTTGCTCCTTTATATTCTGTATTACTTAAATATGCTCAAAAAAGCAGTGGTAAACAGCTATTTAGGAATTGAGGCTGTTACTCCTGACTTCCATGTGAGACTGCCACGGAACTCATATTGAAAATATGTCATTTTATCCACTAGGTTTTGTTTCCTACTTTTTAAATTGGTGTTAAGAAAGGGAAAAAAATCACAAGTTTGTCTAACTCAGTAGAAAAACCGACAAAGCATTTGCAGACAACTTGGCAAGGGTACAGAGAAACGGATGTACTGTTTTACAGTATTTGGGGAGGGTGGTTTGAGCAGCATTTATTGACAATTTCATTAGTGGGGATGTTTCTATTGAAAACACAGAGTTAGGAAGTCATAAAATGTTCTTGCAATATAAGGTAATAATACCACCGGCGTTTATCTTATGTTTTCATGTTCTAAGTGCATGCATCTGAGTAAAAGGATCTGGGCTGCAGTCCAGTCTGAGAGATGCCAGCAAAGGCTTCCTAGGCCAATTCAGTCCAGTAAATCCCTCTTCAATCTTCTCTCCCACACAGACAGCAGTGATGAGCATGCCCGTGAACTCACATGATTATTTTGGGGAAAATGAAAGAGTTGTATTCTTTTTGAGGTAGTAATTCCACTTTCAGGGGCAAATACATTTTGATTATTTTATCACCCTTCAGTGAGTTGTTTTTGTTCTTTAATCAAGGATGTATGTTTGAAGTAAGAAGTAAAGCATAAAGTATACGATTTTGTGTGTGTGTGTGTGTTTATCTTGCTATACCTGTAGGGAATGTTTAATTCTGCCTTGGAAGTGGCCAAATTTGAAGATGCTGTGATTCGAACTGTCAGTGGGATAAGGGGGCAGATCAAGAGAGCACTCTGAGCTCCAGAAGGAGCTTTCCAGGCTAGCTTTGAGGATAAGCTGTGGATGAGCGGTGAGTGTCTTAAGTAGTGTTCAGGGCAGGGCGTTACCATTCATGCTTGACTTCTAGCCAGTGTGACGAGAGGCTGGAGTCAGGTCTCCAGAGAGTTGAGCAGCTCCAGCCTTAGATCTCCCAGTCTTATGCGGTGTGCCCATTCGCCTGGTGTCTGCAGCCCCCTGGCCACACCCAGTAACAGTTCTGTGATCTATGAGAATAGTTTCCTTAGCGAGCTTTCCCTTCAAATACTTTGCAGCCAGGTAGAGAAGTTTGGAGTGAAGGTTTTGTTCTTTGTTTCTTTGCAGTATGGATATGAATCTTCTTTTGAAAATGTTAAAGTAAATTACCTCTTTTCAGATATTGTCTTCATGCGAACTTGGTATCCTGTTTCCATCCCAGCCTTCTATAACCCAGTAACATCTTTGTTGAAACCAGTGGGTGAGAAAGACACCTGGTCAGGAATGTGGACCACGGGCCACCTCGGGCTCGCCCATGGTGTCAGACTAAAGACAAACAAGGACTCTCTGTATAAGGTACTGGTCGTGTGTGTGTTAGTGGAGATGAAGCCTGTGCCCTACAGACAGGGAGTCACGCAGACACTTTTCTATAATTTCTTACGTACTTTGAATGTTCAAGTATAAAGTCTAATGTTAAATTTGATTGAACAATTGTATATTTGTGGGATATTTTGGAATGGAACACCAAAAAATGGTAATAGTGGTTCTTTCTGGATTGAAGACAAACTTTTCTTTTTTAAAATAAATTTTATTTTATATATTTGAGGTTGACAACATGATCTTAAAGGATAAATATAGATAGTAAACTGGTTACTATAGTGAAGCAAATTAACATAGCTACCATCTCACATAGTTAGATTTTTGTTTGTGTGACAGGAACAGCTAAAATCTACTTATTTAACAAAAATCCCAAAGACAATATATTTTTATTAACTATAGCCCTCATGATGTACACTAGATCTCTAACTTGTTCATCCTACATGTCTGCTACTTTGTATTATTTTAATGTACATCTCCCCATTTCCTACTGGTCATTTCCTATTTGGCCCATTTTTCAACTGGGTTGTTTTTCTGCTATTAAGTTGTAAGAGTTCTTTACTGATTTTTGGATATTAACACTTTATCAGATATGTGGTTTGCAAATATTTCTTCCAGTCTATAGGTTCCCCTTTCATTTTGTTGGTTGTTCCTTTGCTGTGCAGAAGCTTTTTAGTTTGATGCAGTCCTCCTTGTTTATGTTTACATTTGTAGCCTGGCTTGTGGTGCGATATCCAAAAAATTATTGCTAAGGCCAATGTCAAGAGGCTTTCCCCCTATGTTTTCTTCTAGGAGTTTTATGGTTTCAGGTCTTATTTGGGTCTTTGGTCTTGTATCTGTTTTGAGTTGATTTTTGTGTATGGTGTATGATCAGGGTCGAATTTTATTCTTTTGCATGTGAAAATCCTATTATTGAAGAAACTATCTTTTTTACCATTGTGTTGTCTTGTTTGCCCTTGTCAAAAATTAGTTGACAGTATATGTTTGGATTTATTTCAAAGGTCTCTGTTCTGTTCCATTGGTCTATTTTTTTGTTTTTATGCCAGCACCATACTGTTTTGATTACTATAGCTTTGTAATACAATTTTAAATCAAGAGGTGTGATGCCTCCAACTTTTTCTTTCACAGTTATCTGTTGGCTGTTTGGGGTTTTTTGCGGTTCCATATGAGTTTCAGGATTGTTTTTTCTTTTCTTTTATTTATTTATTTTTTTTTTTGAGGTGAAGTCTCACTCTGTCACCCAAGCTGGAGTGCAGTGGCATAATCTCGGCTCACTAAAACCTCTGCCTCCTGGATTCAAGCAATTCTTCTGCCTCAGCCTCCCAGGTAGCTGGGACTACAGGCACATGCCACTATGCCTGGCCAATTTTTGTAGTTTTAGTAGAGACAGGGTTTCACTATGTTGGCCGGGCTGGTCTCCAACTCCTGACCTCGTGATCCGCCCACTGCGGTCTCCCAAAGTGCTGGAATTACAGGCGTGAGCCACTGTGCCTGGCCAGGATTGTTTTATTCTGTTCTGTGAAGAATGTCATCAGAACTTTGATGAGGATTGTGTTAAATCTGTATATTTGCTTTGGGTAGTGTGAACATTTTAACAATATTAATTCTTCTGATCCATAAACATAGGATGTCTTTTCATTTGTTCATGTCTAAATTTCTTTCATCAATGTTTTATGGTTTTTAAGTGTACACATCTCTCACCTTCTTGGTTAAATTTATTCCTAAGTTTTTGTTTTTCTTTGATGCTATAGTAAATGAGATTATTTTCTTCATTGCTTCGTCAGCTAGGTTATTTGTATACAGAAATGCAACTGATTTTTATATGTTGAGTTTATACCTTGCAGCTTAACTGAATTGATTTAGTAGTTCTCACAGTTTTTTGTGGAATCTTTGGAGTTTTTTACGTAAAGGATCTTGTCATCTGCAAATAGAGATAATTTTACTTCTTTAATTTAGTTGCCTTTTTTTCTCATCTGATTGCTCTTGCAAGCACTCTATTGAATAAAAGTGATGAGGCTGGCCATCCCTATCTTGTACTCAATCTTAGTGGAAAAGCTTTAGTTGTTCCCCACTAACTATGATTAGACTGTGGGTTTTTCATAAATGGTCTTTATTATGTTGAGGAACTTTCCTTCTATACATAAACTATTAAGAGGTTTTATCAAGAAAGGTTGCTAAACTTTGTTAAATGCTTTTACTGAATCAATTGAGGTGACCATGTCATTTTATCTTTCATTTTGTTAATGTGATATATCACATTGATTGATTTACATATTTTAAACCAGCCTTGCATGCCAGGGATAAATCCCACTTAAACACGATGTATAATGTTTTTGATGTGTTGTTGAATTCTATTTGCTAAAATTTTTTTAGGATGTTTGCATCAGTATTTAATTTATTGGAGAAGTTGACCTGTAGTTTTTGTTTGGTGTGTGTGTGTGTGTGTGTGTGTGTGTGTGTGTGTGTGTGTGTGTGTTTTGGTTTGGCTTAGGTATTAAGGTGATACTGGCCTGGTAAAATGTGTTTGGAATTATTTCCTCTCACTCTGTTTTTGCGAAGAGTTTAAGAAGTAAACTCCCAGGGGATGGGAGTGGCTCTGGACATGGGAGTGACATGATAGTGACTCTGGACCCTGCAGTGGTGGGACACAGCAGCATCTCAGTCTCTGTAAGGCCAGGCGCAGCATCAGCAAGGACCCCAGAATGGTGGAGCACTACTGTGGCTTGGGCCCTTGGGGGCAGGGACCAGTGCAGCAACTACTTCTCTCCCTGGGGAGGCAGGTGCCTGGGCAACTCAGATTCTCTAGGGCTAGTCCAGTTCCAAGGAAGCAGGGTTCTACAGTTGTTTGTCCTGAAGGGCAAGGTACCCCAGTTCAGCCAATGCTGTTTTCCTGGGATATGGGGGTGCCATGTTGGCTCATCCCTGGCAGGTGTGGCTGCTCAGCTCAGCCAAGTCACTGATTCCCTGTGAAGCAGGGCAGTGCTTCAGCTCTCGTGCAGTGGGGGATGTGACTGCTCAGACTGGCCAAGGCACTGACTCCCTGGAAAGCAGGGCACCAAGTCAGCTCAGGCTCCAAGGGGCAGGGCGCAATGGCAGCTGGGAGGGGAGGGGCACAGCAGCGTGGCCCCGCAGGTGGGGTGTATGCTGTGATGTGGACATCATTTGTTCCCACCAGCCATTTGAAATTTCATCCATTTGAGATTTGATTCCAAATGTGGTGGTGTGGGAGGTGGGGCCTAGTGGGAGTTATTTGGGTCACAGGGCAGATCCTTTATGAATAGATTAATGCCTTTTCATGGGACTGGATTAGTTACCAGGAGTGGATTGTTATCAGAGTGAGTTCAGCTTCCTAGACTCTCGTGTTTCCTCTCTTGCCATGTGAGCCCCTTGCATACACCTGTTTCGCCTTCCACTTTCCCCATGAGATGAAGCAGCATAAGACCCTCGCCAGTTGTGCTGCCCGATCTCGGACTTTTCAGACACAAGCAGGGTGAGCCAAATAAACCTTTTTTATAAAATAAGTTACCCCGAGTCTCAAGTATTGTGTTACAGCCACACTAAATGGCCTAAGACAGTGTAACAGCGGCTCGGGGGTGGTGGGCCACTAGGTGGGTGTGATATAGAGCAACAAAGCCTGAGGATGGAAGAAGGGTGCGGTGGCTGCTCACCCTGGGTGGGACATGCTCCCGAAGTGGTCCAGGTCCAGGAGGGCACGTTGCAGCAGCAGCTGGTCCATGGGGGTGGGGCACAATGTCAGTTCCTTCTCTGAGGGGAGTGCTGGGGCTACTGGGCCCCTCTTGCTTCCTTATCCCTGCAGGGAGACATCCCCTCTGCTTCAGGCTGATCCCTCTGGGGGAATGGGTGGTGGGGGCCAGATGTTTCCTTCCCTCCTTTATGTGACTGTCCTGTTTTCCGGGCTCTACTGGATTTCTGCTACTCCTTGATGCACTCTGGGGCTCTCCTTTAGTGACTTTCATCAAAATATAGCTGTTTGCTGCTTTGGCTGTCTTTGTCAGGGGATGAGTGCAAGGGGTTATTGATCAGCCCCTTGCTGGCATCACTCCCTCTTAAACTTTTCACTGGATACTCTTTTGAACTATTTTTTCCCCCACCATATACATGTATTTTTTAAACGTTAATGTGCTAATTTCTACTGAAGCAATGTGGATTTTTCTGAAAGTTTTAATGTTTTAATAAGCTTTTTATTGAAATGTTAATGTACATACAGAAGAGTGCCCGAATCATAAGTGTGCATCTAGATGAACTGTAGCACACCAGGCTGCCACGCCCTGGACCAAGCAGTAGCCTTGACCTGTGGCCTCTCCCAGGCACTGCTGCCCCAACCTACAAAATAGCTACTTTCCCAGTTCCTGATGTAGATTTGTTCTGCCTGGTTTTGACTTCTATAAAATACAGCACATTCTATTTAGCCTGGCTTCTTTGGTTCAGTATTACAGAACACATCCATGTTCTTGTCTATGGCAGACATTGATTTATCGTCATTGTTGAGTTCCATTATATGACTGTGTCACCATTTTTCCATTGATGAGTAAAATGATTTCCTATTTTTGGCTGTTATCCCACGGCCCTGAACACTAGGTCTGGATATGGGACTTGCAGGTATGCAGGGGCACACACACTTCTGCTGGAGGATCCCTGGGTGGGGTGGAGACTCCAGGGCACCTGTGCTCTGCTTCAGTGTGGAGGCTTCTGTGTTGTGTTCGGGGAGCACAGTGGCTTGGCCTCCGCCACCAGCAGCAGCTTAAAGAGTTCCTGCTGTTCCACATGCTTGCCAACAATTGGCCTCTTCAGTTCTTTTTTTTTTTTAGGTTTTCAGTGCCTGCCTGGACTTGTGTTTTCATTTAGATTTTGGTTTCTTAGAATTTTCGTTATTCTCTTCACAGCTTAACAATGCATTTGAAAAGATTTGTTTTCATGTGGAGTATTCAGTTTTGTAATAAGAGGGTTGTTCAAGGCATCAGTCTGCCACTCTGCTAGAAACAGAATTCTCCCAGGCATTTTTTTTATATAAAGTAGTTAATGAAATTTTGAACCATCTTACATGAATTTTTATTAAAATACACTTCAGGATGTGGTGCCCATTATCCATTCTACTCTTTTGTAACAAGTAGATTTCTCTGAATTCTTGAATTTGAAAACAATTGGGGTTCCTAAACAGAGAATATGGAATATTATTGGGGATGATGTCTTTAATAATACATTTCAAGATAGGAGAAACTTTTTCTATATAGTTGACTTTAATAAAAGCCTAGGGCAAAACTTTCAATATATTAACAGTATTTATGAGGCAGTTAAGAATTTGGGTCATCTCCGTCTCCACTAAAAATACAAAAAATTAGCCAGGTGTTGCGGCGGGCGCCTGTAGTCCCTGCTACTTGGGAGGCTGAGGCAGGAGAATGGTGTGAACCCAGGAGGCGGAGGTTGCAGTGAGCCGAGATCATGCCACTGCACTTTAGCCTGGGCAACAGAGTGAGACTCCGTATCAAAAAAAAAAAAAAAAAAAAGAATTTGGGTCATCTCAATTAAGCATTGAATTTAAGATTACATTGAAAATTCAGTACAGAGTATTTTGCCTTCATCTGTTGTTTGAGTCTCCCTTCTTTCAGCCATCCTTCCATCAGAAATAGAATACCAAGTTAAACTTCTTAATTAGAATCAGGAATCAGGACTCCTTGGCTGCTGATTGAAGGAAGAAGTGTCCTTAAATCCAGAGTGGGCCGGGCATGGTGGCTCATGCCTGTAATCCTAGCACTTTGGGAGGCCAAGGCAGGTGGATCCCCTGAGGTCAGGAGTTCAAGAGCAGCATGACCAACATGGTGAAACCCCATCTCTACTGAAAATACAAAAATTAGCCGGGCGTGGTGGTGTGTGCCTATAGTCCCAGATACTTGGGAGGCTGAGATAGGAGAATTGCTTGAACCTGGGAGGTGGAGGTTGTGTGAGCCAAGATCGCGCCACTGCACTCTAGCCTGGGCGACAGGGCGAGACTCCATCTCAAAAAAAAACAAAAATCCAGAGTGGTTGGTAGTCAAGACAAAAAGCTAGATTATTTTTGTTAGTCTGGGAACTAAAAAAAATGGTTGTAACTTTGAAGCCTTTTTATGGATCAACATGAAGATTGAGGGATCTCAAATAGAAAGGGCATCCTGGTGGCAAAGGATAATGATTACCAGACTGCAAGAGTACTTTCAATGGCAAGAAAGCAACAACAGAATCAATGAAAACAAAGCAATGATTAGAATGCCCTTTCCCCTTCTCCTCCTGACCTGTAGACGCTGATTGTCTTCCTTGGACTTAGGGAACCCTTTAAGTTCTTGAAAAATTCAATGATCAGGCTATAGTAGATAGTCCCCAGTACACAGCACAAGATGTTTTGATAAACTGGACATTTTGAGACCCAAATAACTAATTAGAAAAATCAAACATGTGAAACTACTTTATCCTATGCATAGGGGTTATACTGGAAATAAAATGTACAACATTGGAATCCCTAAGGAGAAAAGTCCTAAAAGTTTCAATATCAAGAATCCCGCACCTGCTGCTACTTATCTAGCCTTTTGCTTGATTTCTGGCTGACGAAGTTGCACAACTCTTGAAAACTAAAAACCTTGAAAATTTGTCACTTGAAAACTACTTGAACCAAACTATGAAATCTGACCTGCTATATAAGATGGAATTGTTACAATTATTTTAAACTTCAATTTAGTGTTCTGCTCTATCAAAAGAAAGTTTCAACTCTGTTAGTTGAGTGCACACATCCTAAACAAGTTTCTGAGAATGCTTCTGTCTTCTTTTTATGGGAAGATATTTCCTTTTTCACCATAGACCTCAATGCGCTCCAAATGTGCACTTCCAGATACTACAAAAAGAGTGTTTCAAACGAGCTCTATGAAAGGGAATGTTCAAATTTGGGACTTGAATGCAATCCTCACAGAGATTTTTCTGAGAATGCTTCTGTCTAGGTTTTATATGGACATATTCCCGTTTCCAACGAAATCCTCTAAGCTATCCAAATATCCACTTGCAGATTCTACAAAAAGAGTGCTTCAAAACTGCTCTATCAAAAGAAAGATTCAACTCTGTTAGTTGAGTACGCACATTCCAAACAAGTTTTGAAAACTGCTTCCGTCTAGATTTTAGGCGAAGATATTCCCTTTTTCACCATAGACCTCAAAGAGATCTAAATGTCCATTTCCAGATACTACAAAAAGAGTGTTTCAAAGCTGCTCTATGAAAGGGATTGTACAACTCTCTGACTTCCATGCAAACATCACAAAGGTGATTCTGCGAATGCTTCTGTCTAGATTTTCTATGAAGATATTCCCTTTTCCAAGGAAATCCTCAAAGCTATCCAAATATCCACCTGCAGATTCTACAAAAAGAGTGTTTCAAAACTGCTCTATCAAAAGAAAGGTTCAACTCTGTTAGTTGAGTAAACACATCACAACGTAGTTTCCGAGAATGCTTCTGTGTAGTTTTTGTGGCAAGATATTTCGTTTTTCACCTTACACCTCAAAGCGATCAAAATGTCCACTTCCAGATACTACAAAAAAGTGCTTCAAACCTGCTCTGTGAAAGAGACTGTTCAACTCTGTGACTCGAATGCTAACATCCCAAAGAGGTTTCTGAGAATGCTTGTGTCTCGATTTCATATGAAGATTTTCCCATTTCCAACGAAATCCTCAAAGCTGCCCAAATATCCACATGCAAATTCTACAAAAAGAGTGTTTCAAAACCGCTCTATCAAAAGAAAGGTTCAACTCTGTTATTTGAGCAAACACATCACAAACTAGTTTATGAGAATGCCTCTGTCTAGTATTTATGTGAAGATATACCCTTTTTCACCACAGGCCTCGAAGCGATCCAAATGTCCACTTCCAGATTCCACAAAAAGAGTGTTTCAAACCTGCTCTATGAAAAGGAACGTTCAACTCAGTGACTTGAATGCTACCACCCCAAAGATGTTTCTCAGAATGCTTCTGTCTAGGTTTTATATGAAGATATTCCCGTTTCCAACGAAATCCTCAAAGCTATCCATATATCTCCTTGCAGACTTTGCAAAAAGAGTGTTTCAAACCTGCTCTATGAAAGGGAATGTTCAACTCTGTGACTCGAATGCTAACATCCGAAAGAGGTTTCTGAGAATGCTTGTGTCTCGATTTCATATGAAGATTTTCCCGTTTCCAACGAAATCCTCAAAGCGGTCCAAATATCCACATGCAAATTGTACAAAAAGAGTGTTTCAAAACTGCTGTATCAAAAGAAAGGTTCAACTCTGTTAGTTGAGCAAACACATCACAAACTAGTTTATGAGAATACTTGTGTCTAGTTTTTATGCAAAGATATTCCCTTTTTCACCACAGGCCTCAAAGCGATCCAAATGTCCACTTCCAGATTCCACAAAAAGAGTGTTTCAAACCTTCTCCATGAAACGGAATGTTCAACTCTGTGACTTGAATGATAACACGCCAAAGATATTTCTGAGAATGCTTCTGCATAGATTTTATATGAAGATATTCCCATTTCCAACGAAATCCTCAAAGCTTTCCAAATATCCACATGCAGATTCTACAAAAAGAGTGTTTCAAAACAGCTCTATGAAAAGAAAGGTTCAGCTCTGTTAGTTAAGCACACACATCACAAACTAGTTTATGAGAACGCTTCTGTCTAGTTTTTATTCGAAGATATTCCCTTTTTCACCTTAGGCCTCAATGCGATCCAAATGTCCACTTCCAGATTCCACAAAAAGAGTGTTTCAAAACTGCTCCATGAAAGGGAATGTTCAACTCTGTGACTTGAATGCAAACATCCCAAGGATGTTTCTGAGAATGCTTCTGTCTAGATTTTATATGAAGGTATTCCCCTTTCCAACAAAGTCCTCAAAGCTATCCAAATATCCCCTTGCAGAGTCTACAAAAAGACTGTTTCAAGAGTGCTCTCTCAAAAGAAAGGTTCAACCCTGTTAGTTGACTACACACATCACAAACTGGTTTCTGAGAGTGCTACTGCCTAGTTTATATGGGAAGATATTTCCTTTTTCACAATAGGTCACAAAGCACTCCAAACGTCCAGTTCCATATACTACAAAATCTCGTGTTCACACCTGCTCTATGAAAGGGAATGTTCAACTCTGGGACTTGAATGCAATCCTCACAGAGATTTTTCTGAGAATGCTTCTGTCTAGGTTTTCTATGGACATATTCCCGTTTCCAACGAAATCCTCTAAGCTATCCAAATATCCACTTGCAGATTCTACAAAAAGAGTGTTTCAAAACTACTCTATGAGAAGAAAGATTCAACTGTGTTAGTTGAGTACACACAT
The DNA here is from genome assembly GCF_000001405.40 of Homo sapiens. Classification (NCBI taxonomy): domain Eukaryota; kingdom Metazoa; phylum Chordata; class Mammalia; order Primates; family Hominidae; genus Homo; species Homo sapiens. The sequence goes on along the minus strand of NC_000002.12, from coordinate 94,186,690 downwards.
TCCAAACAAGTTTTGAAGACTGTTTCCGTCTAGTTTTTAGGCGAAGATATTTCCTTTTTCACCATAGACCTCAAAGAGATCTAAATGTCCATTTCCAGATACTACAAAAAGAGTGTTTCAAAGCTGCTCTATGAAAGGGAATGTTCAACTCTCTGACTTCCATGCAAACATCAAAAAGGTGATTCTGCGAATGCTTCTGTCTAGATTTTATATGAAGATATTCCCTTTTCCTAGGAAATCCTCAAAGGTATCCAAATATCCACCTGCAGATTCTACAAAAAGAGTGTTTCAAAACTGTTCTATCAAAAGAAAGGTTCAACTCTGTTAGCTGAGTAAACACATCACAACGTAGTTTCTGAGAATGCTTCTGTGTAGTTTTTGTGGCAAGATATTTCCTTTTTCACCTTACGCCTCAAAGCGATCAAAATGTCCACTTCCAGATACTACAAAAAGAGTGCTTCAAATCTGCTCTATGAAAGGGAATGTTCAACTCTGTGACTCGAATGCTAACATCCCAAAGAGGTTTCTGAGAATGCTTGTGTCTCTATTTCATATGAAGATTTTCCCGTTTCCAACGAAATCCTCAAAGCTGTCCAAATATCCACATGCAAATTCTACAAAAAGAGTGTTTCAATACTGCTGTATCAAAAGAAAGGTTCAACTCTGTTAGTTGAGCAAACACATCACAAACTAGTTTATGAGAATACTTGTGTCTAGTTTTTATGCAAAGATATTCCCTTTTTCACCACAGGCCTCAAAACGATCCAAATGTCCACTTCCAGATTCCACAAAAAGAGTGTTTCAAACCTGCTCCATGAAACGGAATGTTCAACTCTGTGACTTGAATGCTAACACGCCAAAGATATTTCTGAGAATGCTTCTGCATAGATTTTATATGAAGATATTCCCATTTCCAATGAAATCCTCAAAGCTTTCCAAATATCCACATGCAGATTCGACAAAAAGAGTGTTTCAAAACTACTCTATGAAAAGAAAGGTTCAGCACTGTTAGCTGAGCACACACATCACAAACTAGTTTATGAGAATGCTTCTCTCAAGTATTTATTCGAGGATATTCCCTTTCTCACCATTGGCCTGAATGCGATCCAAATGTCCACTTCCAGATTCCACAAAAAGAGTTTTTCAAACCTTCTCCATGAAATGGAATGTTCAACTCTGTGACTTGAATGCAAACATCCCAAAGATGTTTCTGAGAATGCTTCTGTCTAGATTTTATGTGAAGATATACCCGTTTCCAACGAAGTCCTCAAAGCTATCCAAATATGCCCTTGCAGAGTCTACAAAAAGAGTGTTTCTAGAGTGCTCTCTCAAAAGAAAGGTTCAACCCTGTTAGTTGAGTACACACATCACAAACTGGTTTCTGAGAATGCTTCTGCCTAGTTTATATGGGAAGATATTTCTTTTTTCACAATACGTCACAAAGCACTCCAAATGTTCAGTTCCATATACTACAAAATCTTGTGTTCACACCTGCTCTATGAAAGGGAATGTTCAACTCTGGGACTTGAATGCAATCCTCACAGAGATTTTCCTGAGAATGCTTCTGTCTAGGTTTTATATGGACATATTCCCGTTTCCAACGAAATCCTCTGAGCTATCCAAATATCCACTTGCAGATTCTACAAAAAGAGTGTTTCGAAACTGCTCTATCAAAAGAAAGATTCAACTCTGTTAGTTGAGTACACACATTCCAAACAAGTTTTGGAGACTGCTTCCGTCTAGTTTTTATGCGAAGATATTTCCTTATTCACCATAGACCTCAAAGAGATCTAAATGTCCATTTCCAGATACTACAAAAAGAATGTTTCAAAGCTGCTCTATTAAAGGGAATGTTCAACTCTCTGACTTCATTGCAGACATCACAAAGATGATTCTCCGAATGCTTCTATCTAGATTTTACAGGAAGATACTCCCGTTTCCAAGGAAATCCTCAAAGCTATCCAGATATCCACCTGCAGATTCTACAAAAGAGTGTTTCAAAACTGCTCTATCAAAAGAAAGGTTCAACTCTGTTAGTTGAGTAAACACATCACAACGTAGTTTCTGAGAATGCTTCTGTGTAGTTTTTGTGGCAAGATATTTCCTTTTTCACCTTAGGCCCCAAAGCGATCAAAATCTCCACTTCCAGACACTACAAAAAGAGTGCTTCAAACCTGCTCTATGAACTGGAATGTTCAACTCGGTGACTAGAATGCTAACATCCCAAAGAGGTTTCTGAGAATGCTTGTGTCTCTATTTCATATGAAGATTTTCCCGTTTCCAACGAAATCCTCAAAGCTGTCCAAATATCCACATGCAAATTCTACAAAAAGAGTGTTTCAAAACTGCTCTATCAAAAGAAAGGTTTAACTCTGTTGGTTGAGCAAACACATCACAAACTAGTTTATGAGAATACTTCTGTCTAGTTTTTATGCAAAGATATACCCTTTTTCACCACAGGCCTCAAAGCAATCCAAAAGTCCACTTCCAGATTCCAAAAAATGAGTGTTTCAAACCTGCTCTGTGAAAAGGAACGTTTAACTCTGTGACTTGAATGCTAACACCCAAAAGATGTTTCTGAGAATGCTTCTGTCTAGGTTTTATATGAAGATATTCCCGTTTCCAAGGAACTCGTCAAAGCTTTCCAAATATCCACATGCAGATTCTACAAAAAGAGTGTTTCAAAACTGCTCTATGAAAAGAAAGGTTCAGCTCTGTTAGCTGAGCACACACATCACAAACTAGTTTATGAGAATGCTTCTGCCAAGTTTTTATTCGAGGATATTCCCTTTCTCACCATTGGCCTGAATGCGATCCAAATGTTCACTTCCAGATTCCACAAAAAGAGTGTTTCAAACCTGCTCCATGAAACGGAATGTTCAACTCTGTGACTTGAATGCAAACATCCCAAAGATGTTTCTGAGAATGCTTCTGTCTAGATTTTATATGAAGATATACCCGTTTCCAACGAAGTCCTCAAAGCTGTCCAAATATCCACATGCAAATTCTACAAAAAGAGTGTTTCAAAGCTGCTCTATCAAAAGAAAGGTTTAACTCTGTTAGTTGAGCAAACACATCACAAATTAGTTTAAGAGAATACTTCTGTCTAGTTTTTATGTGAAGATATACCCTTTTTCACCACAGGCCTCAAAGCGATCCAAAATTCCACTTCCAGATTCCAAAAAATGAGTGTTTCAAACCTGCTCTATGAAAAGGAACGTTTAACTCTGTGACTTGAGTGCTAACACACAAAGATGTTTCTGAGAATGCTTCTGTCTAGATTTTATATGAAGATATTCCCCTTTCCAACGAAGTCCTCAAAGCTATCCAAATATCCCCTTGCAGAGTCTACAAAAAGACGGTTTCAGGAGTGCTCTCTCAAAAGAAAGGTTCAACCCTGTTAGTTGAGTACACACATCACAAACTGATTCTGAGAATGCTTCTGCCTAGTTTATATGGGAAGATATTTGCTTTTTCACAATAGGTCACAAAGCACTCCAAATGTCCAGTTCCATATACTACAAAATCTTGTGTTCACACCTGCTCTATGAAAGGGAATGTTCAACTCTGGGACTTGAATGCAATCCTCACAGAGTTTTTTCTGAGAATCTTTCTGTCTAGGTTTTATATGGACATATTCCCGTTTCCAACGAAATCCTCTAAGCTATCCAAATATCCACTTGCAGATTCTACAAAAAGAGTGTTTCAAAACTGCTCTATGAGAAGAAAGATTCAACTCTGTTAGTTGAGTACACACATTCCAAACTAGTTTTGAAGACTGCTTCCGTCCAGTTTGTAGGCGAAGATATTTCCTTTTTCACCATAGACCTCAAGGAGATCTAAAAGTCCATTTCCAGATACTACAAAAAGAGTGTTTCAAAGCTGCTCTATGAAAGGGAATGTTCAACTCTCTGACTTCCATGCAAACATCAAAAAGGTTATTCTGCGAATGCTTCTGTCTAGATTTTCTATGAAGATATTCCCTTTTCCAAGGAAATCCTCAAAGCTATCCAAATATCCACCTGCAGATTCTACAAAAAGAGTGTTTCAAAACTGCTCTATCAAAAGAAAGGTTCAACTCAGTTGAGTAAACACATCACAACGTAGTTTCTGAGAATGCTTCTGTGTAGTTTTTGTGGCGAGATATTTCGTTTTTCACAGTACGCCTCAAAGCGATCAAAATGTCCACTTCCAGATACTACAAAAAGAGTGCTTCAAATCTGCTCTATGAAAGGGAATGTTCAACTCTGTGACTCGAATGCTAACATCCCAAAGAGGTTTCTGAGAATGCTTGTGTCTCTATTTCATATCAAGATTTTCCCGTTTCCAACGAAATCCTCAAAGCTGTCCAAATATCCACATGCAAATTCTAAAAAAAGAGTGTTTCAAAACTGCTCTATCAAAAGAAAGGTTGAACTCTGTTAGTTGAGCAAACACATCACAAACTAGTTTATGAGAATACTTCTGTCTACTTTTTATGCGAAGATATACCCTTTTTCACCACAGACCTAAAAGCGATCCTAATGTCCACTTCCAGATTCCACAAAAAGAGTTTTTCAAACCTGCTCCATGAAACGGAATGTTCAACTCTGTGACTTGAATGCTAACACGCCAAAGATGTTTCTGAGAATGCTTCTGCCTAGATTTTATATGAAGAAATTCCCGTATCCAACGAAATCCTCAAACCTTTCCAAATATCCAAATGCAGATTCTACAAAAAGAGTGTTTCAAAACTGCTCTATGAAAAGAAAGGTTCAGCCCTATTAGCTGAGCACACCCATCACAAACTAGTTTATGAGAATGCTTCTGTCTAGTTTTTATTCCAAGATATTCCCTTTTTCACCATTGGCCTCAATGCGATCCAAATGTCCACTTCCAGATTCCACAAAAAGATTGTTTCAAACCTGCTCCATGAAGGGGAATGTTCAACTCTGTGACTTGAATGCAAACATCCCAAAGATGTTTCTGAGAATGCTTCTGTCTAGATTTTATATGAAGATATATCCGTTTCCTACAAAGTCCTCAAAGCTATCCAAATATCCCCTTGCAGAGTCTACAAAAAGAGTGTTTCAAGAGTGCTCTCTCAAAAGAAAGGTTCAACCCTGTTAGTTGAGTACACACATCACAATCTGGTTTCTGAGAATGCTTCTGCCTAGTTTATATGTGAAGATACTTCCTTTTTCACAATACGTCACAAAGCACTCCAAATGTCCTGTTCCATATACTACAAAATCTTGTGTTCACACCTGCTCTATGAAAGGGAATGTTCAACTCTGGGACTTGAATGCAATCCTCACAGAGTTTTTCCTGAGAATGCTTCTGTCTAGGTTTTATATGGACATATTCCCGTTTCCAACGAAATCCTCTAAGCTATCCAAATATCCACTTGCAGATTCTACAAAAAGAGTGTTTCAAAACTGCTCTATCAAAAGAAAGATTCAACTCTGTTAGTTGAGTACACACATTCCAAACAAGTTTTGGAGACTGCTTCCGTCTAGTTTTTATGCGAAGATATTTCCTTTTTCACTATAGACCTCAAAGACATATAAATGTCCATTTCCAGATACTACAAAAAGAATGTTTCAAAGCTGCTCTATGAAAGGGAATGTTCAACTCTCTGACTTCCATGCAAACATCAAAAAGGTGATTCTACGAATGCTTCTGTCTAGATTTTATATGAAGATATTCCTTTTTCCAAGGAAATCCTCAAAGCTATCCAAATATCCACCTGCAGATTCTACAAAAAGAGTGTTTCAAAACTGCTCTATCAAAAGAAAAATTCAACTCTGTTAGTTGAGTAAACACATCACAACGTAGTTTCTGAGAATGCTTCTGTGTAGTTTTTGTGCAAGATATTTCCTTTTTCACCTTAGGCCACAAAGCGATCAAAATGTCCACTTCCAGATACTACAAACAGAGTACTTCAAACCTGCTCTATGAAAGGGAATTTTCAACTCAGTGACTCGAATGCTAACACCCCAAAGAGGTTTCTGAGAATGCTTGTGTCTCTATTTCATATGAAGATTTTCCCGTTTCCAACGAAATCCTCAAAACTGTCCAAATATCCACATGCAAATTCTACAAAAGAGTGTTTCAAAACTGCTCTATCAAAAGAAAGGTTTAACTCCGTTAGCTGAGCAAACACATCACAAAGTACTTTATGAGAATACTTCTGTCTAGTTTTTATGCGAAGATATACCCTTTTTCACCACAGGCCTCAAAGTGATCCAAAAGTCCACTTCCAGATTCCACAAAATGAGTGTTTCAAACCTGCTCCATGAAACGGAATGTTCAACTCTGTGACTTGAATGCTAACACGCCAAAGATGTTTCTGAGAATGCTTCTGTCTATATTTTGTATGAAGATATTCCCGTTTCCAACAAAATCCTCAAAGCTTTCCAAATATCCACATGCAGATTCTACAAAAAGAGTGTTTCAAAACAGCTCTAAGAAAAGAAAGGTTCAGCTCTGTTAGTTAGGCACACACATCACAAACTAGTTTATGAGAATGCTTCTGTCTAGTTTTCATTAGAAGATATTCCCTTTTTCACCTTAGGCCTCAATGCGATCCAAATATCCACTTCCAGATTCCACAAAAAGAGTGTTTCAAACCTGCTCCATGAAAGGGAATGTTCAACTCTGTGACTTGAATGCAAACATCCCAAGGATGTTTCTCAGAATGCTTCTGTCTAGATTTTATATGAAGATATGCCCCTTTCCAACGAAGTCCTCAAAGCTATCCAAATATCCCCTTGCAGACTCTACCAAAAGACTCTTTCAAGAGTGCTCTCTCAAAAGAAAGGTTCAACCCTGTTAGTTGAGTACACGCATCACAAACTGGTTTCTGAGAATGATTCTGCCTAGTTTATATGGGAAGATATTTCCTTTTTCACAATAGGTCACAAAGCACTCCAAATGTCCAGTTCCATATACTACAAAATCTTGTGTTCACACCTGCTCTATGAAAGGGAATGTTCAACTCTGGGACTTGAATGCAATCCTCACAGAGTTTTTTCTGAGAATGCCTCTGTCGAGGTTTTATATGGACATATTCCTGTTTCCAACGAAATCCTCTAAGCTATCCAAATATCCATTTGCAGATTCTACAAAAAGAGTGTTTCAAAACTGCTCTATGACAAGAAAGATTCAACTCTGTTAGTTGAGTGCACACATTCCAAACTAGTTTTGAAGACTGCTTCTGTCTAGTTTTTAGGTGAAGATATTTCCTTTTTCACCATAGACCTAAAAGAGATCTAAATGTCCATTTCCAGATACTACAAAAAGAATGTTTCAAAGCTGCTCTATGAAAGGGAATGTTCAACTCTCTGACTTCCATGCAAACATCACAAAGGTGATTCTGCAAATGCTTCTGTCTAGATTTTATATGAAGATATTCCCTTTTCCAAGGAAATCCTCAAAGCTATCCAAATATCCACCTGCAGATTCTACAAAAAGAGTGTTTCAAAACTGCTCTATCAAAAGAAAGGTTCAACTCTGTTAGTTGAGTAAACACATCACAACGTTTCTGAGAATGCTTCTGTGTAGTTTTTGTGGCAAGATATTTCCTTTTTCACCTTACGCCTCAAAGCGATCACAATGTCCACTTCCAGATACTACAAAAAGAGTGCTTCAAACCTGCTCTATGATAAGGAATGTTGAACTCTCTGACTCAAATGCTAACATCCCAAAGAGGTTTCTGAGAATGCTTGTGTCTCTATTTCATAGGAAGATTTTCCCGTTTCCAACGAAATCCTCAAAGCTGTGCAAATATCCACATGCAAATTCTACAAAAAGAGTGTTTCAAAGCTGCTCTATCAAAAGAAAGGTTTAACTCTGTTAGTTGAGCAAACATATCACAAACTAGTTTATGAGAATACTTCTGTCTACTTTTTATGCGAAGATATTCACTTTTTCACCACAGGCCTCAAAGCGATCCAAAATTCCACTTCCAGATTCCCCAAAAAGAGTGTTTCAAACCTGCTCTATGAAAGGGAACGTTCAACTCTGTGACTTGAATGCTAACACCCCAAAGATGTTTCTGAGAATGCTTCTCTCTAGGTTTTATATGAAGATATTCCCGTTTCCAAGGAAATCCGCAAAGCTTTCCAAATCTCCACCTGCAGATTCTACAAAAAGAGTGTTTCAAAACTGCTCTATGAAAAGAAAGGTTCAGCTCTGTTAGCTAAGCACACACATCACAAACTAGTTTATGAGAATGCTTCTTTCTAGTTTTTATTCGAAGATGTTCCCTTTTTCACCATTGGCCTCAATGCGATGCAAATGTCCACTTCCAGATTCCACAAAAAGATTGTTTCAAACCTGCTCCATGAAGGGGAATGTTCAACTCTGTGACGTGAATGCAAACATCCCAAAGATGTTTCTGAGAATGCTTCTGCCTAGATTTTAGATGAAGATATACCCGTTTCCAACGAAGTCCTCAAAGCTATCCAAATACCCCCTTGCAGAGTCTACAAAAAGAGTGTTTCAAGAGTGCTCTCTCAAAAGACAGGTTCAACCCTGTTAGTTGAGTACACACATCACAAACTGGTTTCTGAGAATGCTTCTGCCTAGTTTATATGGGAAGATATTTCCTTTTTCACAATACGTCACAAAGCACTCCAAATGTCCAGTTCCATATACTACAAAATCTTGTGTTCACACCTCCTCTATGAAAGGGAATGTTCAACTCTGGGACTTGAATGCAATCCTCACAGAGTTTTTCCTGAGAATGCTTCTGTCTATGTTTTATATGGACATATTCCCGTTTCCAACGAAGTCCTCTAAGCTATCCAAATATCCACTTGCAGATTCTACAAAAAGAGTGTTTCAAAACTGCTCTATCAAAAGAAAGATTCAACTCTGTTAGTTGAGTACACACATTCCAAACAAGTTTTGGAGACTGCTTCCATCTAGTTTTTATGCGAAGATATTTCCTTTTTCACCATAGACCACAAAGAGATATAAATGTTCATTTCCAGATACTACAAAAAGAATGTTTCAAAGCTGCTCTATGAAAGGGAATGTTCAACTCTCTGACTTCCATGCAAACATCAAAAAGTTGATTCTACGAATGCTTGTGTATAGATTTTATATGAAGATATTCGCTTTTCCAAGGAAATCCTCAAAGCTGTCCAAATATCCACCTGCAGATTCTACAAAAAGAGTGTTTCAAAACTGCTCCATCGAAAGAAACATTCAACACTTTTAGTTGAGTAAACACATCACAACGTAGTTTCTGAGAATGCTTCTGTGTAGTTTTTGTGGCGAGATATTTCCTTTTTCACCTTAGGCCACAAAGCGATCAAAATGTCCACTTCCAGATACTACAAACAGAGTGCTTCAAACCTGCTCTTTGATAAGGAATGTTGAACTCTCTGACTCAAATGCTAACATCCCAAAGTGGTTTCTGAGAATGCTTGTGTCTCTATTTCATAGGAAGATTTTCCCGTTTCCAACGAATTCCTCAAAACTGTCCAAATATCCATATGCAAATACTACAAAAAGAGTGTTTCAAAACTGCTCTATCAAAAGAAAGGTTTAACTCCGTTAGCTGAGCAAACACATCACAAAGTACTTTATGAGAATACTTCTGTCTAGTTTTTATGCGAAGATATACACTTTTTCACCACAGGCCTCAAAGTGATCCAAAAGTCCACTTCCAGATTCCACAAAATGAGTGTTTCAAACCTGCTCCATGAAACGGAATGTTCAACTCTGTGACTTGAATGCTAACACGCCAAAGATGTTTCTGAGAATGCTTCTGTCTAGGTTTTATATGAAGATATTCCCGTTTCCAACAAAATCCTCAAAGCTTTCCAAATATCCACATGCAGATTCTACAAAAAGAGTGTTTCAAAACAGCTCTATGAAAAGAAAGTTTCAGCTCTGTTAGTTAGGCACACACATCACAAACTAGTTTATGAGAACGCTTCTGTCTAGTTTTAATTAGAAGATATTCCCTTTTTCACCTTAGGCCTCAATGCGATCCAAATATCCACTTCCAGATTCCACAAAAAGAGTGTTTCAAACCTGCTCCATGAAAGGGAATGTTCAACTCTGTGACTTGAATGCAAACATCCCAAGGATGTTTCTGAGAATGCTTCTGTCTAGATTTTATATGAAGATATGCCCCTTTCCAACGAAGTCCTCAAAGCTATCCAAATATCCTCTTGCAGACTCTACAAAAAGACTCTTTCAAGAGTGCTCTCTCAAAAGAAAGGTTCAACCCTGTTAGTTGAGTACACACATCACAAACTGGTTTCTGAGAATGATTCTGCCTAGTTTATATGGGAAGATATTTCCTTTTTCACAATAGGTCACAAAGCACTCCAAATGTCCAGTTCCATATACTACAAAATCTTGTGTTCACACCTGCTCTATGAAAGGGAATGTTCAACTCTGGGACTTGAATGCAATCCTCACAGATTTCTTTCTGAGAATGCCTCTGTTGAGGTTTTATATGGACATATTCCTGTTTCCAACGAAATCCTCTAAGCTATCCAAATATCCATTTGCAGATTCTACAAAAAGAGTGTTTCAAAACTGCTCTATGAGAAGAAAGATTCAACTCTGTTAATTGAGTGCACACATTCCAAACTAGTTTTGAAGACTGCTTCCATCTAGTTTTTAGGTGAAGATATTTCCTTTTTCACCATAGACCTCAAAGAGATCTAAATGTCCATTTCCAGATACAACAAAAAGAGTGTTTCAAAGCTGCTCTATGAAAGGGAATGTTCAACTCTCTGACTTCCATGCAAACATCACAAAGGTGATTCTGCAAATGCTTCTGTCTAGATTTTATATGAAGACATTCCCTTTTCCAAGGAAATCCTCAAAGCTATCCAAATATCCACCTGCAGATTCTACAAAAAGAGTGTTTCAAAACTGCTCTATCAAAAGAAAGGTTCAACTCTGTTAGTTGAGTAAACACATCACAACGTAGTTTCTGAGAATGCTTCTGTGTAGTTTTTGTGGCAAGATATTTCCTTTTTCACCTTACGCCTCAAAGCGATCACAATGTCCACTTCCAGATACTACAAAAAGAGTGCTTCAAACCTGCTCTTTGATAAGGAATGTTGAACTCTCTGACTCAAATGCTAACATCCCAAAGAGGTTTCTGAGAATGCTTGTGTCTCTATTTCATAGGAAGATTTTCCCGTTTCCAACGAAATCCTCAAAGCTGTCCAAATGTCCACATGCAAATTCTACAAAAAGAGTGTTTCAAAGCTGCTCTATCAAAAGAAAGGTTTAACTCTGTTGGTTGAGCAAAAAAATCACAAGCTAGTTTATGAGTATACTTCTGTCTAGTTTTTATGCGAAGATATACCCTTTTTCACCACAGGCCTCAAAGCGATCCAAAAGTCCACTTCCAGATTCCAAAAAATGAGTGTTTCAAACCTGCTCTGTGAAAAGGAACGTTTAACTCTGTGACTTGAATGCTAACACCGCAAAGATGTTTCTGAGAATGCTTCTGTCTAGGTTTTATATGAAGATATTCCCGTTTCCAAGGAAATCCGCAAAGCTTTCCAAATCTCCACCTGCAGATTCTACAAAAAGAGTGTTTCAAAACTGCACTATGGAAAGAAAGGTTCAGCTCTGTTAGCTAAGCACACACATCACAAACTAGTTTATGAGAATGCTTCTTTCTAGTTTTTATTCGAAGATATTCCCTTTTTCACCATTGGCCTCAATGCGAAACAAATGTCCACTTCCAGATTCCACAAAAAGATTGTTTCAAACCTGCTCCATGAAGGGGAATGTTCAACTCTGTGACTTGAATGCAAACATCCCAAAGATGTTTCTGAGAATGCTTCTGCCTAGATTTTATATGAAGATATAACCGTTTCCAACGAAGTCCTCAAAGCTATCCAAATATCCCCTTGCAGAGTCTACAAAAAGAGTGTTTCAAGAGTGCTCTCTCAAAAGACAGGTTCAACCCTGTTAGTTGAGTACACACATCACAATCTGGTTTCTGAGAATGCTTCTGCCTAGTTTATATGTGAAGATATTTCCTTTTTCACAATACGTCACAAAGGACTCCACATGTCCAGTTCCATATACTACAAAATCTTGTGTTCACACCTGCTCTATGAAAGGGAATGTTCAACTCTGGGACTTGAATGCAATCCTCACAGAGATTTTTCTGAGAATGCTTCTGTCTAGGTTTTATATGCACATATTCCCGTTTCCAACGAAGTCCTCTAAGCTATCCAAATATCCACTTGCAGATTCTACAAAAAGAGTGTTTCAAAACTGCTCTATCAAAAGAAAGATTCAACTCTGTTAATTGAGTACACACATTCCAAACAAGTTTTGGAGACTGCTTCCGTCTAGTTTTTATGCGAAGATATTTCCTTTTTCACCATAGACCTCAAAGAGATCTAAATGTCCATTTCCACATACTACAAAAAGAGTGTTTCAAAGCTGCTCTATGAAAGGGAATGTTCAACACTCTGACTTCAATGCAGACATCACAAAGGTGATTCTGCGAATGCTTCTGTCTAGATTTTATATGAAGATATTCCCTTTTCCAAGGAAATCCTCAAAGCTATCCAAATATCCACCTGCAGATTCTACAAAAAGAGTGTTTCAAAACTGCTCTATCAAAAGAAAGGTTCAACTCTGTTAGTTGAGTAAACACATCACAACGTAGTTTCTGAGAATGCTTCTGTGTAGTTTTTGTGGCAAGATATTTCCTTTTTCACCTTAGGCCCCAAAGCGATCAAAATGTCCACTTCCAGATACTACAAAAAGAGTGCTACAAACCTGCTCTATGATAGGGAATGTTCAACTCTGTGACTCGAATGCTAACATCCCAAAGATGTCTCTGAGAATGCCTGTGTCTCTATTTCATAGGAAGATTTTCCCGTTTCCAACGAAATCCTCAAAGCTGTACAAATATCCACATGCAAATTCTACAAAAAGAGTGTTTCAAGGCTGCTCTATCAAAAGAAAGGTTTAACTCTGTAAGTTGAGCAAACACATCACAAATTAGTTTATGAGAATACTTCTGTCTAGTTTTTAATGCGAGGATATACCCTTTTTCACCACAGGCCTCAAAGCGATCCAAAATTCCACTTCCAGATTCCAAAAAATGAGTGTTTCAAACCTGCTCTATGAAAAGGAACGTTTAACTCTGTGACTTGAGTGCTAACACCCCAAAGATGTTTCTGAGAATGCTTCTGTCTAGGTTTTATATGAAGATATTCCCGTTTCCAAGGAAATCCTCAAAGCTTTCCAAATATCCACATGCAGATTCTACAAAAAGAGTGTTTTAAAACTGCTCTATGAAAAGAAAGGTTCAGCTCTGTTAGCTGAGCACACACATCACAAACTAGTTTATGAGAATGCTTCTGCCAAGTTTTCATTCGAGGATATTCCCTTTCTCACCATTGGCCTGAATGTGATCCAAATGTTCACTTCCAGATTCCACAAAAAGAGTGTTTCCAACCTGCTCCATGAAACGGAATGTTCAACTCTGTGACTTGAATGCAAACATCCCAAAGATGTTTCTGAGAATGCTTCTGTCTAGATTTTTTATGAAGATATACCCGTTTCCAACGAAGTCCTCAAAGCTATCCAAATATCCCCTTGCAGAGTCTACAAAGAGAGTGTTTCAAGAATGCTCTCTCAAAAGAAAGGTTCAACCCTGTTAGTTGAGTACACACATCAGAAACTGGTTTCTGAGAATGCTTCTGCCTAGTTTATATGGGAATCTATTTCGTTTTTCACAATACGTCACAAAGCACTCCACATGTCCAGTTCCATATACTACAAAATCTTGGGTTCACACCTGCTCTATGAAAGGGAATGTTCAAATTTGGGACTTGAATGCAATCCTCACAGAGATTTTTCTGAGAATGCTTCTGTCTAGGTTTTATATGGACATATTCCCGTTTCCAATGAAGTCCTCTAAGCTATCCAAATATCCACTTGCAGATTCTACAAAAAGAGTGTTTCAAGAGTGCTCTCTCAAAAGACAGGTTCAACCCTGTTAGTTGAGTACACACATCACAATCTGGTTTCTGAGAATGCTTCTGCCTAGTTTATATGTGAAGATATTTCCTTTTTCACAATACGTCACAAAGGACTCCACATGTCCAGTTCCATATACTACAAAATCTTGTGTTCACACCTGCTCTTTGAAAGGGAATGTTCAACTCTGGGACTTGAATGCAATCCTCACAGAGATTTTTCTGAGAATGCTTCTGTCTAGGTTTTATATGCACATATTCCCGTTTCCAACGAAGTCCTCTAAGCTATCCAAATATCCACTTGCAGATTCTACAAAAAGAGTGTTTCAAAACTGCTCTATCAAAAGAAAGATTCAACTCTGTTAATTGAGTACACACATTCCAAACAAGTTTTGGAGACTGCTTCCGTCTAGTTTTTATGCGAAGATATTTCCTTTTTCACCATAGACCTCAAAGAGATCTAAATGTCCATTTCCACATACTACAAAAAGAGTGTTTCAAAGCTGCTCTATGAAAGGGAATGTTCAACACTCTGACTTCAATGCAGACATCACAAAGGTGATTCTGCGAATGCTTCTGTCTAGATTTTATATGAAGATATTCCCTTTTCCAAGGAAATCCTCAAAGCTATCCAAATATCCACCTGCAGATTCTACAAAAAGAGTGTTTCAAAACTGCTCTATCAAAAGAAAGGTTCAACTCTGTTAGTTGAGTAAACACATCACAACGTAGTTTCTGAGAATGCTTCTGTGTAGTTTTTGTGGCAAGATATTTCCTTTTTCACCTTAGGCCCCAAAGCGATCAAAATGTCCACTTCCAGATACTACAAAAAGAGTGCTACAAACCTGCTCTATGATAGGGAATGTTCAACTCTGTGACTCGAATGCTAACATCCCAAAGATGTCTCTGAGAATGCCTGTGTCTCTATTTCATAGGAAGATTTTCCCGTTTCCAACGAAATCCTCAAAGCTGTACAAATATCCACATGCAAATTCTACAAAAAGAGTGTTTCAAGGCTGCTCTATCAAAAGAAAGGTTTAACTCTGTAAGTTGAGCAAACACATCACAAATTAGTTTATGAGAATACTTCTGTCTAGTTTTTAATGCGAGGATATACCCTTTTTCACCACAGGCCTCAAAGCGATCCAAAATTCCACTTCCAGATTCCAAAAAATGAGTGTTTCAAACCTGCTCTATGAAAAGGAACGTTTAACTCTGTGACTTGAGTGCTAACACCCCAAAGATGTTTCTGAGAATGCTTCTGTCTAGGTTTTATATGAAGATATTCCCGTTTCCAAGGAAATCCTCAAAGCTTTCCAAATATCCACATGCAGACTCTACAAAAAGAGTGTTTTAAAACTGCTCTATGAAAAGAAAGGTTCAGCTCTGTTAGCTGAGCACACACATCACAAACTAGTTTATGAGAATGCTTCTGCCAAGTTTTCATTCGAGGATATTCCCTTTCTCACCATTGGCCTGAATGTGATCCAAATGTTCACTTCCAGATTCCACAAAAAGAGTGTTTCCAACCTGCTCCATGAAACGGAATGTTCAACTCTGTGACTTGAATGCAAACATCCCAAAGATGTTTCTGAGAATGCTTCTGTCTAGATTTTTTATGAAGATATACCCGTTTCCAACGAAGTCCTCAAAGCTATCCAAATATCCCCTTGCAGAGTCTACAAAGAGAGTGTTTCAAGAGTGCTCTCTCAAAAGAAAGGTTCAACCCTGTTAGTTGAGTACACACATCAGAAACTGGTTTCTGAGAATGCTTCTGCCTAGTTTATATGGGAATCTATTTCGTTTTTCACAATATGTCACAAAGCACTCCACATGTCCAGTTCCATATACTACAAAATCTTGGGTTCACACCTGCTCTATGAAAGGGAATGTTCAAATTTGGGACTTGAATGCAATCCTCACAGAGATTTTTCTGAGAATGCTTCTGTCTAGGTTTTATATGGACATATTCCCGTTTCCAATGAAGTCCTCTAAGCTATCCAAATATCCACTTGCAGATTCTACAAAAAGAGTGTTTCAAAACTGCTCTATCAAAAGAAAGATTCAACTCTGTTAGTTGAGTACACACATTCCAAACAAGTTTTGGAGACTGCTTCCGTCTAGTATTTATGCGAAGATATTTCCTTTTTCACCATAGACCTCAAAGAGATATAAATGTCCATTTCCAGATACTACAAAAAGAATGTTTCAAAGCTGCTCTATGAAAGGGAATGTTCAACTCTCTGACTTCAATGCAGACATCACAAAGATGATTCTGCAAATGTTTCTGTCTAGATTTTATATGAAGATACTCCCTTTTCCAAGGAAATCCTCAAAGCTATCCAGATATCCACCTGCAGATTCTACAAAAAGAGTGTTTCAAAACTGCTCTATCAAAAGAAACATTCAACTCTGTTAGTTGAGTAAACACATCACAACGTAGTTTCTGAGAATGCTTCTGTGTAGTTTTTGTGGCAAGATATTTCCTTTTTCACCTTAGGCCACAAAGTGATCAAAATGTCCACTTCCAGATACTACAAACAGAGTGCTTCAAACCTGCTCTATGAAAGGGAAATTTCAAATCAGTGACTCGAATGCTAACATCCCAAAGAGGTTTCTGAGAATGCTTGTGTCTCGATTTCGTATGAAGATTTTCCCGTTTCCAACGAAATCCTCAAAACTGTCCAAATATCCACATGCAAATTCTACAAAAAGAGTGTTTCAAAACTGCTCTATCAAAAGAAAGGTTTAGCTCCGTTAGTTGAGCAAACACATCACAAAGTACTTTATGAGAATACTTCTGTCTAGTTTTTATGCGAAGATATACCTTTTTCACCACAGGCCTCAAAGTGATCCAAAAGTCCACTTCCAGATTCCACAAAATGAGTGTTTCAAACCTGCTCCATGAAACGGAATGTTCAACTCTGTGACTTGAATGCTAACACGCCAAAGATGTTTCTGAGAATGCTTCTGCCTAGATTTTATATGAAGATATTCCCGTTTCCAACAAAATCCTCAAAGCTTTCCAAATATCCACATGCAGATTCTACAAAAAGAGTGTTTCAAAACAGCTCTATGAAAAGAAAGGTTCAGCTCTGTTAGTTAGGCACACACATCACAAACTAGTTTATGAGAACGCTTCTGTCGAGTTTTCATTAGAAGATATTCCCTTTTTCACCTTAGGCCTCAATGCGATCCAAATATCCACTTCCAGATTCCACAAAAAGAGTGTTTCAAACCTGCTCCATGAAAGGGAATGTTGAACTCTGTGACTTGAATGCAAACATCCCAAGGAGGTTTCTGAGAATGCTTCTGTCTAGATTTTATATGAAGATATACCCGTTTCCAACGGAGTCCTCAAAGCTATCCAAATACCCCCTTGCAGAGTCTACAAAAAGAGTGTTTCAAGAGTGCTCTCTCAAAAGAAAGGTTCAACCCTGTTAGTTGAGTACACACATCACAAACTGGTTTCTGAGAATGCTTCTGCCTAGTTTATATGGGAATCTATTTCCTTTTTCACAATACGTCACAAAGCACTCCACATGTCCAGTTCCATATACTACAAAATCTTGTGTTCACACCTGCTCTATGAAAGGGAATGTTCAACTCTGGGACTTGAATGCAATCCTCACAGAGATTTTTCTGAGAATGCTTCTGTCTAGGTTTTATATGGACATATTCCCGTTTCCAACGAAATCCTCTAAGGTATCCAAATATCCACTTGCAGATACTACAAAAAGAGTGTTTCAAAACTGCTCTATCAAAAGAAAGATTCAACTCTGTTAGTTGAGTACACACATTCCAAACAAGTTTTGGAGACTGCTTCCGTCTAGTTTTTATGCGAAGATATTTCCTTTTTCACCATAGACCTCAAAGAGATCTAAATGTCCATTTCCACATACTACAAAAAGAATGTTTCAAAGCTGCTCTATGAAAGGGAATGTTCAACTCTCTGACTTCAATGCAGACATCACAAAGGTGATTCTGCGAATGCTTCTGTCTAGATTTTCTATGAAGATATTCCGTTTTCCAAGGAAATCCTCAAAGCTATCCAAATATCCACCTGCAGATTCTACAAAAAGAGTGTTTCAAAACTGCTCTATCAAAAGAAAGGTTCAACTCTGTTAGTTGAGTAAACACATCACAACGTAGTTTCTGAGAATGCTTCTGTGTAGTTTTTGTGGCAAGATATTTCCTTTTTCACCTTAGGCCCCAAAGCGATCAAAATGTCCACTTCCAGATACTACAAAAAGAGTGCTACAAACCTGCTCTATGATAGGGAATGTTCAACTCTGTGACTCGAATGCTAACATCCCAAAGATGTCTCTGAGAATGCCTGTGTCTCTATTCCATAGGAAGATTTTCCCGTTTCCAACGAAATCCTCAAAGCTGTACAAATATCCACATGCAAATTCTACAAAAAGAGTGTTTCAAAGCTGCTATCAAAAGAAAGGTTTAACTCTGTTAGTTGAGCAAACACATCACAAACTAGTTTATGAGAATACTTCTGTCTAGTTTTTATGCGAAGATATACCCTTTTTCACCACAGGCCACAAAGCGATCCAAAAGTCCACCTCCAGATTCCAAAAAATGAGTGTTTCAAACCTGCTCTATGAAAAGGAAGGTTCAACTCTGTGACTTGAATGCTAACACCCCTAAGATGTTTCTGAGAATGCTTCTGTCTAGGTTTTATTTGAAGATATTCCCGTTTCCAAGGAAATCCTCAAAGATTTCGAAATATCCACCTGCAGATTCTACAAAAAGAGTGTTTCAAAACTGCTCTATGAAAAGAAAGGTTCAGCTCTGTTAGCTGAGCACACACATCACAAACTAGTTTATGAGAATGCTTCTGTCAAGTTTTTATTTGAGGATATTCCCTTTCTCACCATTGGCCTGAATGCGATCCAAATGTCCACTTGCAGATTCCACAAAAAGAGTGTCTCAAACCTTCTCCATGAAACGGAATGTTCAACTCTGTGACTTGAATGCAAACATCCCAAAGATGTTTCTGAGAATGCTTCTGTCTAGATTTTATATGAAGATATACCCGTTTCCAACGAAGTCCTCAAAGCTATCCAAATATGTCCTTGCAGAGTCTACAAAAAGAGTGTTTCAAGAGTGCTCTCTCAAAAGAAAGGTTCAACCCTGTTAGTTGAGTACACACATCACAAACTGGTTTCTGAGAATGATTCTGCCTAGTTTATATGGGAATCTATTTCCTTTTCCACAATACGTCACAAAGCACTCCAAATGTCCAGTTCAATATACTACAAAATCTTGTGTTCACACCGGCTCTATGAAAGGGAATTATTAACTCTGGGACTTGAATGCAATCCTCACAGAGTTTTTTCTGAGAATGATTCTGTCTAGGTTTTATATGGACATATTCCGGTTTCCAACGAAGTCCTCTAAGCTATCCAAATATCCACTTGCAGATTCTACAAAAAGAGTGCTTCAAAACTGCTCTATCAAAAGAATGATTCAACTCTGTTAGTTGAGTACACACATTCCAAACAAGTTGTGGAGACTGCTTCCGTCTAGTTTTTATGCGAAGATATTTCCTTTTTCACCATAGACCTCAAAGAGATCTAAATGTCCATTTCCAGATACGACAAAAAGAGTGTATCAAAGCTGCTCTATCAACAGAAAGGTTCAACACTGTTAGTTGAGTACACACATCACAAATAAGTTTCTCAGAATGCTTCTATCTAGTTTTTATGGGAGGATATTTCCTTTTTCAACACAAGCCGGAATGCGATCCAAATGGACAACCTCCAGATATGACAAATGGCGTCTTTCAAACCTGCTCTAAGAAAGGGAATGTTCAAATCTGGGACTTCAATGCAAACATCACAAAGAAGTTTCTGAGAATGCTGCTGTCTGCTTTTTATATGCATTCCCGTTTCCAACGAAATCCTCCAAGCTGGCTTAATATCCACTTGCATATTCCACAAAAAGACTGTTTTAAAACTTCTCTCTCAAAAGAAAGGTTGAACTCTGTTAGCTGAGTAGATATATCATGAAAAAGTTTCTGACATTCCTTCTATCTAGCTTTTATTGGAAGATATTTCCTTTTTCACCGTAGTCCTGAGAGCGCTCTCAATGTCCACTTCCAGATACTACAAAAAGAGTGTTTCAAACCTGCTCTATGAAAGGGAATGTTCAACTCTGTGACTTGAATGCAAGCATCACAAGGAAGTTTCTGAGAATGCTGCTCTCTGCTTTTTATATGTAATCCCGTTTCCAACGAAATCCTCAAAGCTAGACAAATATCCACTTGCAGATTCCACAAAAAGAGTGTTTCAAAACTGCTCTCTCAAAAGAAAGGTTCAACTCTGTTAGCTGAGTAGATACATCATGAAAAATTTTCTGACATTGCTTCTATCTAGCTTTTATTGGAAGATATTTCCTTTTTCACCGTAGTCCTGAGAGCGCTCCAAATGTCCACTTCCAGATACTACAAAAAGAGTGTTTCAAACCTGCTCTACGAAAGGGACTGTTCAACACTGTGACTTCAATTGAAACATCCCAATGAAGTTTCTGAGAATGCTTCTGTCTAGAGTTTATATGAAGACAATCCCGTTTCCAACGAAATCCTCAAAGCTATCCAAATATCCTCTTGCAGATTTTACAAAAAGAGTGTTTCAAAACTGCCCTATCAAAAGAAAGGTTCAACACTGTTAGTTGAGGGCGCACATCACAAATAAGTTTCTGAGAATGCTTCTGTCTAGTTTTCAGGGGAAGATATTTCCTTTTTCACCATAGGCCTGAAAGCGCTCCAAATGTCCACATCCAGATACTACAAAAAGAGTGTTTCAAACCTGCTCTATGAAAGGGAATGTTCAACTCTGTGACTTGAATGCAAACATCACAAAGAAGTTTCTGGGAATGCTGCTGTCTGCTTTTTATATGTAATCCCGTTTCCAACGAAATCCTCAAAGCTAGACAAATATCCACTTGCAGATTCCACAAAAGGAGTGTTTCAAAACTGCTCTTTCAAAACGATGATTCAATTCTGTTAGTTGAGGGCGCACATCACAAATAAGTTTCTGAGAATGCTTCTGTCTAGTTTTCAGGGGAAGATATTTCCTTTTTCACCATAGGCCTGAAAGCTCTCCAAATGTCCACGTCCAGATACTACAAAAAGAGTGTTTCAAACCTGCTCTATGAAAGGGAATGTTCAACTCTGTGACTTGAATGCAAACATCACAAAGAAGTTTCTGAGAATGCTGCTGTCTGCTTTTTATATGTAATCCCGTTTCCAACGAAATCCTCAAAGCTAGACAAATATCCACTTGCAGATTCCACAAAAAGAGTGTTTCAAAACTGCTCTCTCAAAAGAAAGGTTCAACTCTGTTAGCTGAGTAGGTACATCATGAAAAATTTTCTGACATTGCTTCTATCTAGCTTTTATTGGAAGATATTTCCTTTTTCACTGTAGTCCTGAGAGCGCTCTCAATGTCCACTTCCAGATACTACAAAAAGAGGGTTTCAAACCTGCTCTATGAAAGGGAATGTTCAACTCTGTGACTTGAATGCAAACATCACAAAGAAGTTTCTGAGAATGCTGCTGTCTGCTTTTTATATGTAATCCCGTTTCCAACGAAATCCTCAAAGCTAGACAAATATCCACTTGCAGATTCCACAAAAGGAGTGTTTCAAAACTGCTCTTTCAAAACGATGGTTCAATTCTGTTAGTTGAGTACACACATCACAAATAAGTTTCTGAGAATGCTTCTATCTAGTTTTTATGGGAGGATATTTCCTTTTTCAACACAAGCCGGAATGCGCTCCAAATGGACAACTTGCAGATATGACAAAAGGCGTGTTTCAAACCTGCTCTATGAAAGGGAATGTTCAAATCTGGGACTTCAATGCAAACATCACAAAGAAGTTTCTGAGAATGCTGCTGTCTGCATTTTATATGGATTCCCGTTTCCAACGAAATCCTCCAAGCTGGCTTAATATCCACTTGCATATTCCACAAAAAGACTGTTTTAAAACTGCTCTCTCAAAAGAAAGGTTGAACTCTGTTAGCTGAGTAGATATATCATGAAAAAGTTTCTGACATTGCTTCTATCTAGCTTTTATTGGAAGATATTTCCTTTTTCACCGTAGTCCTGAGAACGCTCTAAATGTCCACTTCCAGATACTACAAAAAGAGTGTTTCAAACCTGCTCTATGAAAGGGAATGTTCAACTCTGTGACTTGAATGCAAACATCACAAAGAAGTTTCTGAGAATGCTGCTGTCTGCATTTTATATGGATTCCCGTTTCCAACGAAATCCTCCAAGCTGGCTTAATATCCACTTGCATATTCCACAAAAAGACTGTTTTAAAACTGCTCTCTCAAAAGAAAGGTTGAACTCTGTTAGCTGAGTAGATATATCATGAAAAAGTTTCTGACATTGCTTCTATCTAGCTTTTATTGGAAGATATTTCCTTTTTCACCGTAGTCCTGAGAACGCTCTCAATGTCCACTTCCAGATACTACAAAAAGAGTGTTTCAAACCTGCTCTATGAAAGGGACTGTTCAACACTGTGACTTCAATTGAAACATCCCAATGAAGCTTCTGAGAATGCTTCTGTCTAGATTTTATATGAAGACAATCCCGTTTCCAACGAAATCCTCAAAGCTATCCAAATATCCTCTTGCAGATTTTACAAAAAGAGTGTTTCTAAACTGCTCTATCAAAAGAAAGGTTCAACACTGTTAGTTGAGGGCGCACATCACAAATAAGTTTCTGAGAATGCTTCTGTCTAGTTATCAGGGGAAGATATTTCCTTTTTCACCATAGGCCTGAAAGCGCTCCAAATGTCCACATCCAGATACTACAAAAAGAGTGTTTCAAACCTGCTCTATGAAAGGGAATGTTCAACTCTGTGACTTGAATGCAAACATCACAAAAAAGTTTCTGGGAATGCTGCTGTCTGCTTTTTATATGTAATCCCGTTTCCAACGAAATCCTCAAAGCTAGACAAATATCCACTTGCAGATTCCACAAAAAGAGTGTTTCAAAACTGCTCTCTCAAAAGAAAGGTTCAACTCTTTTAGCTGAGTAGATACATGATGAAAAAGTTTCTGACATTGCTTCTATCTAGCTTTTATTGGAAGATATTTCCTTTTTCACCGTAGTCCTGAGAGCGCTCCAAATGTCCACTTCCAGATGCTACAAAAAGAGTGTTTCAAACCTGCTCTATGAAAGGGACTGTTCAACACTGTGACTTCAATTGAAACATCCCAATGAAGCTTCTGAGAATGCTACTGTCTAGAGTATATATGAAGACAATCCCGTTTCCAACGAAATCCTCAAAGCTATCCAAATATCCTCTTGCAGATTTTACAAAAAGAGTGTTTCAAAACTGCTCTATCAAAAGAAAGCTTCAACACTGTCAGTTGAGGGTGCACATCACAAATAAGTTTCTGAGAATGCTTCTGTCTAGTTTTCAGGGGAAGATATTTCCTTTTTCAGCATAGGCCTGAAAGCGCTCCAAATGTCCACATCCAGATACTACAAAAAGAGTGTTTCAAACCTGCTCTATGAAAGGGAATGTTCAACTCTGTGACTTGAATGCAAACATCACAAAGAAGTTTCTGGGAATGCTGCTGTCTGCTTTTCTTATGTAATCCCGTTTCCAACGAAGTCCTCAAAGCTAGACAAATATCCACTTGCAGATTCCACAAAAAGAGTGTTTCAAAACTGCTGCCTCAAAAGAAAGGTTCAACTCTGTTAGCTGAGTAGATACATCATGAAAAAGTTTCTGACATTGCTTCTATCTAGCTTTTATTGGAAGATATTACCTTTTTCACCATAGTCCTGAGAGTGCTCCAAATGTCCACTTCCAGATACTACAAAAAGAGTGTTTCAAACCTGCTCTATGAAAGGGACTGTTCAACACTGTGACTTCAATTGAAACATCCCAATGAAGCTTCTGAGAATGCTACTGTCTAGAGTTTATATGAAGACAATCCTGTTTCCAACGAAATCCTCAAAACTATCCAAATATCCTCTTGCAGATTTTACAAAAAGAGTGTTTGAAAACTGCTCTATCAAAAGAAAGCTTCAACACTGTTAGTTGAGGGCGCACATCACAAATAAGTTTCTGAGAATGCTTCTGTCTAGTTTTCAGGGGAAGATATTTCCTTTTTCAGCATAGGCCTGAAAGCGCTCCAAATGTCCACATCCAGATACTACAAAAAGAGTGTTTCAAACCTGCTCTATGAAAGGGAATGTCCAACTCTGTGACTTGAATGCAAACATCACAAAGAAGTTTCTGGGAATGCTTCTGTCTGCCTTTTATATGTAATCCCGTTTCCAACGAAATCCTCAAAGCTAGACAAATATCCACTTGCATATTCCACAAAAAGTGTGTTTCAAAACTGTTCTCTCAAAAGAAAGGTTCAACTCTGTTAGCTGAGTAGATACATCATGAACAATTTTCTGACATTGCTTCTATCTAGCTTTATTTGGAAGATATTTCCTTTTTCACCGTAGTCCTGAGAACGCTCCAAATGTCCACTTCCAGATACTACAAAAAGAGTGTTTCAAACATGCTCTATGTAAGGGACTGTTCAACACTGTGACTTCAATTGAAACATCCCAATGAAGCTTCTGAGAATGCTTCTGTCTAGATTTTATATGAAGACAATCCCGTTTCCAACGAAATCCTCAAATCTATCCAAATATCCTCTTGCAGATTTTACAAAAAGAGTGTTTCAAAACTGCTCTACCAAAAGAAAGGTTCAACACTGTTAGTTGAGGGCGCACATCACAAATAAGTTTCTGAGAATGCTTCTGTCTAGTGTTCAGGGGAAGATATTTCCTTTTTCACCATAGGCCTGAAAGCGCTCCAAATGTCCACATCCAGATACTACAAAAAGAGTGTTTCAAACCTGCTCTATGAAAGGGAATGTTCAACTCTGTGACTTGAATACAAACATCACAAAGAAGTTTCTGGGAATGCTGCTGTCTGCTTTTTATATGTAATCCCGTTTCCAACGAAATCCTCAAAGCTAGACAAATATCCACTTGCAGATTCCACAAAAAGAGTGTTTCAAAACTGCTCTCTCAAAAGAAAGGTTCAACACTTTTAGCTGAGTAGATACCTCATGAAAAAGTTTCTGACATTTCTTTTATCTAGCTTTTATTGGAAGATATTCCCTTTTTCACCGTAGTCCTGAGAGCGCTCCAAATGTCCACTTCCAGATACTACAAAAAGAGTGTTTCAAACCTGCTCTATGAAAGGGACTGTTCAACACTGTGACTTCAATTGAAACATCCCAATGAAGCTTCTGAGAATGCTACTGTCTAGAGTTTATATGAAGACAATCCCGTTTCCAATGAAATCCTCAAAACTATCCAAATATCCTCTTGCAGATTTTACAAAAAGAGTGTTTGAAAACTGCTCTATCAAAAGAAAGCTTCAACACTGTTAGTTGAGGGCGCACATCACAAATAAGTTTCTGAGAATGCTTCTGTCTAGTTTTCAGGGGAAGATATTTCCTTTTTCACCATAGGCCTGAAAGCGCTCCAAATGTCCACATCCAGATACTACAAAAAGAGTGTTTCAAACCTGCTCTATGAAAGGGAATGTTCAACTCTGTGACTTGAATGCAAACATCACAAAGAAGTTTCTGGGAATGCTGCTGTCTGCTTTTTATATGTAATCCCGTTTCCAACGAAATCCTCAAAGCTAGACAAATATCCACTTGCAGATTCCACAAAAAGAGTGTTTCAAAACTGCTCTCTCAAAAGAAAGGTTCAACTCTGTTAGCTGAGTAGATACATCATGAAAAAGTTTCTGACATTGCTTCTATCTAGCTTTTATTGGAAGATATTTCCTTTTTCACCGTAGTCCTGAGAGCGCTCAAAATGTCCACTTCCAGATACTACCAAATGAGTGTTTCCAACCTGCTCTATGAAAGGGACTGTTCAACACTGTGACTTCAATTGAAACATCCCAATGAAGCTTCTGAGAATGCTACTGTCTAGAGTTTATATGAAGACAATCCCGTTTCCAATGAAATCCTCAAAACTATCCAAATATCCTCTTGCAGATTTTACAAAAAGAGTGTTTGAAAACTGCTCTATCAAAAGAAAGCTTCAACACTGTTAGTTGAGGGCGCACATCACAAATAAGTTTCTGAGAATGCTTCTGTCTAGTTTTCAGGGGAAGATATTTCCTTTTTCACCATAGGCCTGAAAGCGCTCCAAATGTCCACATCCAGATACTACAAAAAGAGTGTTTCAAACCTGCTCTATGAAAGGGAATGTTCAACTCTGTGACTTGAATGCAAACATCACAAAGAAGTTTCTGGGAATGCTGCTGTCTGCTTTTTATATGTAATCCTGTTTCCAACGAAATCCTCAAAGCTAGACAAATATCCACTTGCAGATTCCACAAAAAGAGTGTTTCAAAACTGCTCTCTGAAAAGAATGGTTCAACTCTGTTAGCTGAGTAGATACATCATGAAAAATTTTCTGACATTTCTTCTATCTAGCTTTATTTGGAAGATATTTCCTTTTTCACCGTAGTCCTGAGAACGCTCCAAATGTCCACTTCCAGATACTACAAAAAGAGTGTTTCAAACATGCTCTATGAAAGGGACTGTTCAACACTGTGACTTCAATTGAAACATCCCAATGAAGCTTCTGAGAATGCTTCTGTCTAGATTTTATATGAAGACAATCCCGTTTCCAACGAAATCCTCAAAGCTATCCAAATATCCTCTTGCAGATTTTACAAAAAGAGTGTTTCTAAACTGCTCTATCAAAAGAAAGGTTCAACACTGTTAGTTGAGGGCGCACATCACAAATAAGTTTCTGAGAATGCTTCTGTCTAGTTATCAGGGGAAGATATTTCCTTTTTCACCATAGGCCTGAAAGCGCTCCAAATGTCCACATCCAGATACTACAAAAAGAGTGTTTCAAACCTGCTCTATGAAAGGGAATGTTCAACTCTGTGACTTGAATGCAAACATCACAAAAAAGTTTCTGGGAATGCTGCTGTCTGCTTTTTATATGTAATCCCGTTTCCAACGAAATCCTCAAAGCTAGACAAATATCCACTTGCAGATTCCACAAAAAGAGTGTTTCAAAACTGCTCTCTCAAAAGAAAGGTTCAACTCTTTTAGCTGAGTAGATACATGATGAAAAAGTTTCTGACATTGCTTCTATCTAGCTTTTATTGGAAGATATTTCCTTTTTCACCGTAGTCCTGAGAGCGCTCCAAATGTCCACTTCCAGATGCTACAAAAAGAGTGTTTCAAACCTGCTCTATGAAAGGGACTGTTCAACACTGTGACTTCAATTGAAACATCCCAATGAAGCTTCTGAGAATGCTACTGTCTAGAGTTTATATGAAGACAATCCCGTTTCCAACGAAATCCTCAAAGCTATCCAAATATCCTCTTGCAGATTTTACAAAAAGAGTGTTTCAAAACTGCTCTATCAAAAGAAAGCTTCAACACTGTCAGTTGAGGGTGCACATCACAAATAAGTTTCTGAGAATGCTTCTGTCTAGTTTTCAGGGGAAGATATTTCCTTTTTCAGCATAGGCCTGAAAGCGCTCCAAATGTCCACATCCAGATACTACAAAAAGAGTGTTTCAAACCTGCTCTATGAAAGGGAATGTTCAACTCTGTGACTTGAATGCAAACATCACAAAGAAGTTTCTGGGAATGCTGCTGTCTGCTTTTCTTATGTAATCCCGTTTCCAACGAAGTCCTCAAAGCTAGACAAATATCCACTTGCAGATTCCACAAAAAGAGTGTTTCAAAACTGCTGCCTCAAAAGAAAGGTTCAACTCTGTTAGCTGAGTAGATACATCATGAAAAAGTTTCTGACATTGCTTCTATCTAGCTTTTATTGGAAGATATTACCTTTTTCACCGTAGTCCTGAGAGTGCTCCAAATGTCCACTTCCAGATACTACAAAAAGAGTGTTTCAAACCTGCTCTATGAAAGGGACTGTTCAACACTGTGACTTCAATTGAAACATCCCAATGAAGCTTCTGAGAATGCTACTGTCTAGAGTTTATATGAAGACAATCCTGTTTCCAACGAAATCCTCAAAACTATCCAAATATCCTCTTGCAGATTTTACAAAAAGAGTGTTTGAAAACTGCTCTATCAAAAGAAAGCTTCAACACTGTTAGTTGAGGGCGCACATCACAAATAAGTTTCTGAGAATGCTTCTGTCTAGTTTTCAGGGGAAGATATATCCTTTTTCACCATAGGCCTGAAAGCGCTCCAAATGTCCACATCCAGATACTACAAAAAGAGTGTTTCAAACCTGCTCTATGAAAGGGAATGTTCAACTCTGTGACTTGAATGCAAACATCACAGAGAAGTTTCTGGGAATGCTGCTGTCTGCTTTTTATATGTAATCCTGTTTCCAACGAAATCCTCAAAGCTAGACAAATATCCACTTGCAGATTCCACAAAAAGAGTGTTTCAAAACTGCTCTGTGAAAAGAAAGGTTCAACTCTGTTAGCTGAGTAGATACATGATGAAAAAGTTTCTGACATTGCTTCTATCTAACTTTTATTGGAAGATATTTCCTTTTTCACCGTAGTCCTGAGAACGCTGCAAATGTCCACTTCCAGATGCTACAAAAAGAGTGTTTCAAACCTGCTCTATGAAAGGGACTGTTCAACACTGTGACTTCAATTGAAACATCCCAATGAAGGTTCTGAGAATGCTACTGTCTAGGGTTAATATGAAGACAATCCCATTTCCAACGAAATCCTCAAAGCTATCCAAATATCCTCTTGCAGATTTTACAAAAAGAGTGTTTCAAAACTGCTCTATCAAAAGAAAGGTTCAACACTGTTAGTTGAGGGCGCACATCACAAATAAGTTTCTGAGAATGCTTCTATCTAGTTTTCAGGGGAAGATATTTCCTTTTTCACCATAGGCCTGAAAGCGCTCCAAATGTCCACATCCAGATACTACAAAAAGAGTGTTTCAAACCTGCTCTATGAAAGGGAATGTTCAAGTCTGTGACTTGAATGCAAATATCACAAAGAAGTTTCTGGGAATGCTGCTGTCTGCTTTTTATATGTAATCCCGTTTCCAACGAAATCCTCAAAGCTAGACAAATATCCACTTGCAGATTCCACAAAAAGAGTGCTTCAAAACTGCTCTCTCAAAAGAAAGGTTCAACTCTGTTAGCTGAGTAGATACATCATGAAAAAGTTTCTGACATTGCTTCTATCTAGCTTTTATTGGAAGATATTACCTTTTTCACCGTAGTCCTGAGAGCGCTCCAAATGTCCACTTCCAGATACTACAAAAAGAGTGTTTCAAACCTGCTCTATGAAAGGGACTGTTCAACACTGTGACTTCAATTGAAACATCCCAATGAAGCTTCTGAGAATGCTACTGTCTAGGGTTAATATGAAGACAATCCCGTTTCCAAAGAAATCCTCAAAGCTATCCAAATATCCTCTTGCAGATTTTACAAAAAGAATGTTTCAAAACTGCTCTATCAAAAGAAAGCTTCAACACTGTTAGTTGAGGGCGCACATCACAAATAACTTTCTGAGAATACTTCTGTCTAGTTTTCAGGGGAAGATATTTCCTTTTTCACCATAGGCCTGAAAGCGCTCCAAATGTCCACATCCAGATACTACAAAAAGAGTGTTTCAAACCTGCTCTATGAAAGGGAATGTTCAACACTGTGACTTGAATGCAAACATCACAAAGAAGTTTCTGGGAATGCTGCTGTCTGCTTTTTATATGTAATCCCGTTTCCAACGAAATCCTCAGAACTAGACAAATATCCACTTGCAGATTCCACAAAAAGAGTGTTTCAAAAGTGCTCTCTCAAAAGAAAGGTTCAACTCTGTTAGCTGGGTAGATACATCATGAAAAAGTTTCTGACATTGCTTCTATCTAGCTTTTATTGGAAGATATTTCCGTTTTCACCGTAGTCCTGAGAGCGCTCCAAATGTCCACTTCCAGATACTACAAAAAGTGTGTTTCAAACCTGCTCTATGAAAGGGACTGTTCAACACTGTGACTTCAATTGAAACATCCCAATGAAGCTTCTGAGAATGCTACTGTCTAGAGTTTATATGAAGACAATCCCATTTCCACCGAAATCCTCAAAGCTATCCAAATATCCTCTTGCAGATTTTACAAAAAGAGTGTTGCAAAACTGCTCTATGAAAAGAAAGCTTCAACACTGTTAGTTGAGGGCGCACATCACAAATAAGTTTCTGAGAATGCTTCTGTCTAGTTTTCAGGGGAAGTTATTTCCTTTTTCACCATAGGCCTGAAAGCGCTCCAAATGTCCACATCCAGATACTACAAAAAGAGTGTTTCAAACCTGCTCTATGAAAGGGAATGTTCAACTCTGTGACTTGAATGCAAACATCACAAAGAAGTTTCTGGGAATGCTGCTGTCTGCTTTTCATATGTAATCCCGTTTCCAACGAAATCCTCAAAGCTAGACAAATATCCACTTGCAGATTCCACAAAAAGAGTGTTTCAATTTGCTCTCTCAAAAGAAAGGTTCAACTCTGCTAGCTTAGTAGATACATCATGAAAAAGTTTCTGACATTGCTTCTATCTAGCTTTTATTGGAAGATATTTCCTTTTTCACCGTAGTCTTGAGAGCGCTCCAAATGTCCACTTCCAGATATTACAAAAACAGTGTTTCAAACCTGCTCTATGAAAGGGACTGTTCAACACTGTGACTTCAATTGAAACATCCCAATGAAGCTTCTGAGAATGCTACTGTCTAGAGTTTATATGAAGACAATCCCATTTCCACCGAAATCCTCAAAGCTATCCAAATATCGTCTTGCAGATTTTACAAAAAGAGTGTTTCAAAACTGCTCTCTCAAATGAAAGGTTCAACTCTGTTAGCTGAGTAGATACATCATGAAAAAGTTTCTGACATTGCTTCTATCTAGCTTTTATTGGAAGATATTTCCTTTTTCACCGTAGTCCTGAGAGCGCTCCAAATGTCCACTTCCAGATACTACAAAAAGTGTGTTTCAAACCTGCTCTATGAAAGGGACTGTTCAACACTGTGACTTCAGTTGAAACATCCCAATGAAGCTTCTGAGAATGCTTCTGTCTAGATTTTATATGAAGACAATCCCGTTTCCAACGAAATCCTCAAAGCTAGACAAATATCCACTTGCAGATTCCACAAAAAGAGTGTTTCAAAACTGCTCTCTAAAAAAAAAGGTTCAACTCTGTTATCTGAGTAGATACATCATGAAAAAGTTTCTGATATTGCTTCTATCTAGCTTTTATTGGAAGATATTTCCTTCTTCACCATAGTCCTGAGAGCGCTCCAAATGTCCACTTCCAGATGCTACAAAAAGAGTGTTTCAAACCTGCTCTATGAAAGGGACTGTTCAACACTGTGACTTCAATTGAAACATCCCAATGAAGCTTCTGAGAATGCTACTGTCTAGAGTTTATATGAAGACAATCCCGTTTCCAACGAAATCCTCAAAGCTATCCAAATATCCTCTTGCAGATTTTACAAAAAGAGTGTTTCAAAACTGCTCTATCAAAAGAAAGCTTCAACACTGTTAGTTGAGGGCGCACATCACAAATAAGTTTCTGAGAATGCTTCTGTCTAGTTTTCAGGGGAAGATATTTCCTTTTTCAGCATAGGCCTGAAAGCGCTCCAAATGTCCACATCCAGATACTACAAAAAGAGTGTTTCAAACCTGCTCTATGAAAGGGAATGTTCAACTCTGTGACTTGAATGCAAACATCACAAAGAAGTTTCTGGGAATGCTGCTGTCTGCTTTTCTTATGTAATCCCGTTTCCAACGAAGTCCTCAAAGCTAGACAAATATCCACTTGCAGATTCCACAAAAAGAGTGTTTGAAAACTGCTGCCTCAAAAGAAAGGTTCAACTCTGTTAGCTGAGTAGATACATCATGAAAAAGTTTCCGACATTGCTTCTATCTAGCTTTTATTGGAAGATATTACCTTTTTCACCGTAGTCCGTAGCTCCAAATGTCCACTTCCAGATACTACAAAAAGAGTGTTTCAAACCTGCTCTATGAAAGGGACTGTTCAACACTGTGACTTCAATTGAAACATCCCAATGAAGCTTCTGAGAATGCTACTGTCTAGGGTTAATATGAAGACAATCCCGTTTCCAACGAAATCCTCAAACCTATCCAAATATCCTCTTGCAGATTTTACAAAAAGAATGTTTCAAAACTGCTCTATCAAAATAAAGCTTCAACACTGTTAGTTGAGGGCGCACATCACAAATAAGTTTCTGAGAATACTTCTGTCTAGTTTTCAGTGGAAGATATTTCCTTTTTCACCATGGGCCTGAAAGCGCTCCTAATGTCCAAATCCAGATACTACAAAAAGAGTGTTTCAAACCTGCTCTATGAAAGGGAATGTTCAACTCTGTGACTTGAATGCAAACATCACAAAGAAGTTTCTGGGAATGCTGCTGCCTGCTTTTTATATGTAATCCCGTTTCCAACGAAATCCTCAAAGGTAGATAAATATCCACTTGCAGATTCCACAAAAAGAGTGTTTCAAAACTGCTCTCTCAAAAGAAAGGTTCAACTCTGTTAGCTGAGTAGATACATCATGAAAAAGTTTCTGACATTGCTTCTATCTAGCTTTTATTGGAAGATATTTCCTTTTTCACCGTAGTCCTGAGAACGCTCCAAATGTCCACTTCCAGATACTACAAAAAGAGTGTTTCAAACCTGCTCTATGAAAGGGACTGTTCAACACTGTGACTTCAGTTGAAACATCCCAATGAAGCTTCTGAGAATGCTACTGTCTAGAGTTTATATGAAGACAATCCCGTTTCCAACGAAATCCTCAAAGCTATCCAAATATCCTCTTGCAGATTTTACAAAAAGAGTGTTTCAAAACTACTCTATCAAAAGAAAGGTTTAACACTGTTAGTTGAGGGCGCACATCACAAATAAGTTTCTGAGAATGCTTCTGTCTAGTTTTCAGGGGAAGATATTTCCTTTTTCACCATAGGCCTGAAAGCGCTCCAAATGTCCACATCCAGATACTACAAAAAGAATGTTTCAAACCTGCTCTATGAAAGGGAATGTTCAACTCTGTGACTTGAATGCAAACATCACAATGAAGTTTCTGGGAATGCTGCTGTCTGCTTTTTATATGTAATCCCGTTTCCAACGAAATCCTGAAAGCTAGACAAATATCCACCTGCAGATTCCACAAAAAGAGTGTTTCAAAACTGCTCTCTCAAAAAAAATGTTCAACTCTGTTAGCTGAGTAGATACATCATGAAAAAGTTTCTGACATTGCTTCTATCTAGCTTTTATTGGAAGATATTTCCTTTTTCACCATAGTCCTGAGAGCGCTACAAATGTCCACTTCCAGATACTACAAAAAGAGTGTTTCAAACCTGCTCTATGAAAGGGAATATTCAACACTGTGACTTTAATTGAAACATCCCAATGAAGCTTCTGAGAATGCTTCTGTCTAGATTCTATATGAAGACAATCCCGTTTCCAACGAAATCCTCAAAGCTATCCAAATATCCTCTTGCAGATTTTACAAAAAGAGTGTTTCAAAACTGCTCTCTCAAAAGAAAGGTTCAATTCTTTTAGCTGAGTAGATACATGATGAAAAAGTTTCTGACATTGCTTCTATCTAGCTTTTATTGGAAGATATTTCCTTTTTCACCGTAGTCCTGAGAACGCTCCAAATGTCCACTTCCAGATGCTAAAAAAAGAGTGTTTCAAACCTGCTCTATGAAAGGGACTGTTCAACACTGTGACTTCAATTGAAACATCCCAATGAAGCTTCTGAGAATGCTACTGTCTAGGGTTAATATGAAGACAATCCCGTTTCCAACGAAATCCTCAAAGCTATCCAAATATCCTCTTGCAGATTTTACAAAAAGAATGTTTCAAAACTGCTCTTTCAAAAGAAAGCTGCAACACTGTTAGTTGAGGGCGCACATCACAAATAAGTTTCTGAGAATACTTCTGTCTAGTTTTCAGTGGAAGATATTTCCTTTTTCACCATAGGCCTGAAAACGCTCCATATGTCCACATCCAGATACTACAAAAAGAGTGTTTCAAACCTGCTCTATGAAAGGGAATGTTCAACTCTGTGACTTGAATGCAAACATCACAAAGAAGTTTCTGGGAATGCTGCTGTCTGCTTATTATATGTAATCCCGTTTCCAACGAAATCCTCAAAGCTAGACAAATATCCACCTGCAGATTCCACAAAAAGAGTGTTTCAAAACTGCTCTGTCAAAAAAAAGTTTCAACTCTGTTAGCTGAGTAGATACATCATGAAAAAGTTTCTGACATTGCTTCTATCTAGCTTTTATTGGAAGATATTTCCTTTTTCACCGTAGTCCTGAGAGCGCTCCAATTGTCCACTTCCAGATACTACAAAAAGAGTGTTTCAAACCTGCTCTATGAAAGGGACTGTTCAACACTGTGACTTCAATTGAAACATCCCAATGAAGCTTCTGAGAATGCTACTGTCTAGAGTTTATATGAAGACAATCCCATTTCCACCGAAATCCTCAAAGCTATCCAAATATCCTCTTGCAGATTTTACAAAAAGAGTGTTTCAAAACGGCTCTATCAAAAGAAAGGTTCATCACTGTTAGTTGAGGGCGCACATCACAAATAAGTTTCTGAGAATGCTTCTGTCTAGTTTTCAGGGGAAGATATTTCCTTTTTCACCATAGGCCTGAAAGCGCTCCAAATGTCCACATCCAGATACTACAAAAAGAGTGTTTCAAACCTGCTCTATGAAAGGGAATGTTCAACTCTGTGACCTGAATGCAAACATCACAAAGAAGTTTCTGGGAATGCTGCTGTCTGCTTTTTATATGTAATCCCGTTTCCAACGAAATCCTCAAAGCTAGACAAATATCCACTTGCAGATTCCACAAAAAGAGTGTTTCAAAACAGCTCTCTCAAAAGAAAGGTTCAACTCTGTTAGCTGAGTAGATACATCATGAAAAATTTTCTGACATTGCTTCTATCTAGCTTTCTTTGGAAGATATTTCCTTTTTCACCGTAGTCCTGAAAACGCTCCAAATGTCAACTTCCAGATACTACAAAAAGAGTGTTTCAAACATGCTCTATGAAAGGGACTGTTCAACACTGTGACTTCAGTTGAAACATCCCAATGAAGCTTCTGAGAATGGTTCTGTCTAGATTTTATATGAAGACAATCCCGTTTCAAAAGAAATCCTCAAAGCTATCCAAATATCCTCTGGCAGATTTTACAAAAAGAGTGTTTCAAAACTGCTCCATCAAAAGAAAAGTTCAACACTGTTAGTTGAGGGCGCACATCACAAATAAGTTTCTGAGAATGCTTCTGTCTAGTTTTCAGGGGAAGATATTTCCTTTTTCACCATAGGCCTGACAGCGCTCCAAATGTCCACATCCAGATACTACAAAAAGAGTGTTTCAAACCTGCTCTATGAAAGGGAATGTTCAACTCTGTGACTTGAATGCAAACATCACAAAGAAGTTTCTGGGAATGCTGCTGTCTGCTTTTTATATGTAATCGCGTTTCCAACGAAATCCTCAAAGCTAGACAAATATCCACTTGCAGATTCCACAAAAAGAGTGTTTCAAAACTGCTCTCTCAAAGAAAGGTTCAACTCTGTTAGCTGAGTAGATACATCATGAAAAATTTTCTGACATTGCTTCTATCTAGCTTTTATTGGAAGATATTTGCTTTTTCACCATAGTCCTGAGAACGCTCCACATGTCCAATTCCAGATACTACAAAAAGTGTGTTTCAAACCTGCTCTATGAAAGGGACTGTTCAACACTGTGACTTCAATTGAAACATCCCAATGAAGCTTCTGAGAATGCTTCTGTCTAGATTTTATATGAAGACAATCCCGTTTCCAACGAAATCCTCAAATCTATCCAAATATCCTCTTGCAGATTTTACAAAAAGAGTGTTTCAAAACTGCTCTATCAAAAGAAACGTTCAACACTGTTAGTTGAGGGCGCACATCACAAATAAGTTTCTGAGAATGCTTCTGTCTAGTTTTCAGGGGAAGATATTTCCTTTTTCACCATAGGCCTGAAAGCGCTCCAGATGTCCACATCCAGATACTACAAAAAGAGTGTTTCAAACCTGCTCTATGAAAGGGAATGTTCAACTCTGTGACTTGAATGCAAACATCACAAAGAAGTTTCTGGGAATGCTGCTGTCTGCTTTTTATATGTAATCCCGTTTCCAACGAAATCCTCAAAGCTAGACAAATATCCACTTGCAGATTCCACAAAAAGAGTGTTTCAAAACTGCTCTCTCAAAAGAAAAGTTCAACTCTTTTAGCTCAGTAGATACATCATGAAAAAGTTTCTGACATTGCTTCTATCTAGCTTTTATTGGAAGATATTTCCCTTTTCACCGTAGTCCTGAGAACGCTCAAAATGACCACTTCCAGATGCTACAAAAAGAGTGTTTCAAACCTGCTCTATGAAAGGGACTGTTCAACACTGTGACTTCAATTGAAACATCCCAATGAAGCTTCTGAGAATGCTACTGTCTAGGGTTAATATGAAGACAATCCCGTTTCCAAAGAAATCCTCAAAGCTATCCAAATATCCTCTTGCAGATTTTACAAAAAGAGTGTTTCAAAACTGCTCCATCAAAAGAAAAGTTCAACACTGTTAGTTGAGGGCGCACATCACAAATAAGTTTCTGAGAATGCTTCTGTCTAGTTTTCAGTGGAAGATATTTCCTTTTTCACCATAGGCCTGACAGCGCTCCAAATTTCCACAACCAGATACTACAAAAAGAGTGTTTCAAACCTGCTCTATGAAAGGGAATGTTCAACTCTGTGACTTGAATGCAAACATCACAAAGAAGTTTCTGGGAATGCTGCTGTCTGCTTTTTATATGTAATCCCGTTTCCAACGAAATCCTCAAATCTAGACAAATATCCACTTGCAGATTCCACAAAAAGAGTGTTTCAAAACTGCTCTCTCAAAAGAAAGGTTCAACTCTGTTAGCTGAGTAGATACATCATGAAAAAGTTTCTGACATTGCTTCTATCTAGCTTTTATTGGAAGATATTTGCTTTTTCACCGTAGTCCTGAGAACGCTCCAAATGTCCACTTCCAGATACTACAAAAAGAGTGTTTCAAACCTGCTCTATGAAAGGGACTGTTCAACACTGTGACTTCAATTGAAACATCCCAATGAAGCTTCTGAGAATGCTTCTGTCTAGATTTTATATGAAGACAATCCCGTTTCCAACGAAATCCTCAAAGCTATCCAAATATCCTCTTGCAGATTTTACAAAAAGAGTGTTTGAAAACTGCTCTATCAAAAGAAAGCTTCAACACTGTTAGTTGAGGGCGCACATCACAAATAAGTTTCTGAGAATGCTTCTGTCTAGTTTTCAGGGGAAGATATTTCCTTTTTCACCATAGGCCTGAAAGCGCTCCAAATGTCCACATCCAGATACTACAAAAAGAGTGTTTCAAACCTGCTCTATGAAAGGGAATGTTCAACTCTGTGACTTGAATGCAAACATCACAAAGAAGTTTCTGGGAATGCTGCTGTCTGCTTTTTATATGTAATCCTGTTTCCAACGAAATCCTCAAAGCTAGACAAATATACACTTGCAGAGTCCACAAAAAGAGTGTTTCTAAAAGGCTCTCTCAAAAGAAAGGTTCAACTCTGTTAGCTGAGTAGATACATCATGAAAAATTTTCTCACATTGCTTCTATCTAGCTTTATTTGGAAGATATTTCCTTTTTCACCGTAGTCCTGAGAGCGCTCCAAATGTCCACTTCCAGATACTACTAAAAGAGTGTTTCAAACATGCTCTATGAAAGGGACTGTTCAACACTGTGACTTCAATTGAAACATCCCAATGAAGCTTCTGAGAATGCTTCTGTCTAGATTTTATATGAAGACAATCCCGTTTCCAACGAAATCCTCAAAGCTATCCAAATATCCTCTTGCAGATTTTACAAAAAGAGTGTTTCAAAACTGCTCTATCAAAAGAAAGCTTCAACACTGTTAGTTGAGGGCGCACATCACAAATAAGTTTCTGAGAATGCTTCTGTCTAGTTTTCAGGGGAAGATATTTCCTTTTTCACCATAGGCCTGAAAGCGCTCCAAATGTCCACATCCAGATACTACAAAAAGAGTGTTTCAAACCTGCTCTATGAAAGGGAATGTTCAAGTCTGTGACTTGAATGCAAATTTCACAAAGAACTTTCTGGGAATGCTGCTGTCTGCTTTTTATATGTAATCCCGTTTCCAACGCAATCCACAAAGCTAGACAAATATCCACTTGCAGATTCCAAAAAAAGAGTGTTTCAAAACTGCTCTCTCAAAAGAAAGGTTCAACTCTTTTAGCTGAGTAGATACATCATGAAAACGTTTCTGACATTGCTTCTATCTAGCTTTTATTGGAAGATATTTCCTTTTTCACCGTATTCCTGAGAACGCTCCAAATGTCCACTTCCAGATGCTACAAAAAGAGTGTTTCAAAGCTGCTCTAAGAAAGGGACTGTTCAACACTGTGACTTCAATTGAAACATCCCAATGAAGCTTCTGAGAATGCTACTGTCTAGGGTTAATATGAAGACAATCGCGTTTCCAAGGAAATCCTCAAACCTATCCAAATATCCTCTTGCAGATTTTACAAAAAGAATGTTTCAAAACTGCTCTATCAAAAGAAAGGTTTAACACTGTTAGTTGAGGGCGCACATCAGAAATAAGTTTCTGAGAATGCTTCTGTCTAGTTTTCAGGGGAAGATATTTCCTTTTTCACCATAGGCCTGAAAGCGCTCCAAATGTCCACATCCAGATACTACAAAAAGAGTGTTTCAAACCTGCTCTATGAAAGGGAATGTTCAACTCTGTGACTTGAATGCAAACATCACAATGAAGTTTCTGGGAATGCTGCTGTCTGCTTTTTATATGTAATCCCGTTTCCAACGAAATCCTGAAAGCTAGACAAATATCCACCTGCAGATTCCACAAAAAGAGTGTTTCAAAACTGCTCTCTCAAAAAAAATGTTCAACTCTGTTAGCTGAGTAGATACATCATGAAAATGTTTCTGACATTGCTTCTATCTAGCTTTTATTGGAAGATATTTCCTTTTTCACTGTAGTCCTGAGAGCGCTCCAAATGTCCACTTCCAGATACTACAAAAAGAGTGTTTCAAACCTGCTCTATGAAAGGGAATGTTCAACACTGTGACTTCAATTGAAACACCCCAATGAATCTTCTGAGAATGCTACTGTCTAGAGTTTATATGAAGACAATCCCATTTCCACCGAAATCCTCAAAGCTATCCAAATATCCTCTTGCAGATTTTACAAAAAGAGTGTTTCAAAACTGCTCTATCAAAAGAAAGCTTCAACACTGTTAGTTGAGGGTGCGCATCACAAATAAGTTTCTGAGAATGCTTCTGTCTAGTTTTCAGGGGAAGATATTTCCTTTTTCACCATAGGCCTGAAAGCGCTCCAAATGTCCACATCCAGATACTACAAAAAGAGTGTTTCAAACCTGCTCTATGAAAGGGAATGTTCAACTCTGTGACTTGAATGCAAATATCACAAAGAAGTTTCTGGGAATGCTGCTGTCTGCTTTTTATACGTAATCCCGTTTCCAACGAAATCCTCAAAGCTAGACAAATATCCACTTGCAGATTCCACAAAAAGAGTGTTTCAAAACTGCTCTATCAAAAGAAAGGTTCAACTCTGTTAGCTGAGTAGATACATCATGAAAAATTTTCTTACATTGCTTCTATCTAGCTTTTATTGGAAGATATTTCCTTTTTCACCGTAGTCCTGAGAACCCTCCAAATGTCCACTTCCAGATACTACAAAAAGAGTGTTTCAAACATGCTCTATGAAAGGGACTGTTCAACACTGTGACTTCAATTGAAACATCCCAATGAAGCTTCAGAGAATGCTTCTGTCTAGATTCTATATGAAGACAATCCCGTTTCCACCGAAATCCTCAAAGCTATCCAAATATCCTCTTGCAGATTTTACAAAAAGAGTGTTTCAAAACTGCTCTATCAAAAGAAAGCTTCAACACTATTAGTTGAGGGCGCACATCACAAATAAGTTTCTGAGATTGCTTCTGTCTAGTTTTCAGGGGAAGATATTTCCTTTTTCACCATAGGCCTGAAAGCGCTTCAAATGTCCACATCCAGATACTACAAAAAGAGTGTTTCAAACCTGCTCTATGAAAGGGAATGTTCAAGTCTGTGACTTGAACGCAAATTTCACAAAGAACTTTCTGGGAATGCTGCTGTCTGCTTTTTATATGTAATCCCGTTTCCAACGAAATCCTCAAAGCTAGACAAATATCCACTTGCAGATTCCACAAAAAGAGTGTTTCAAAACTGCTCTCTCAAAAGAAAGGTTCAACTCTTTTAGCTGAGTAGATACATCATGAAGAAGTTTCTGATATTGCTTCTATCTAGCTTTTATTGGAAGATATTTCCTTTTTCACCGTAGTCCTGAGAACGCTCCAAATGTCCACTTCCAGATGCTACAAAAAGAGTGTTTCAAACCTGCTCTAAGAAAGGGACTGTTCAACACTGTGACTTCAATTGAAACATCCCAATGAAGCTTCTGAGAATGCTACTGTCTAGGGTTAATATGAAGACAATCCCGTTTCCAACGAAATCCTCAAACCTATCCAAATATCCTCTTGCAGATTTTACAAAAAGAATGTTTCAAAACTGCTCTATCAAAAGAAAGCTTCAACACTGTTAGTTGAGGGCGCACATCACAAATAAGTTTCTGAGAATACTTCTGTCTAGTTTTCAGTGGAAGATATTTCCTTTTTCACCATAGGCCTGAAAGCGCTCCTAATGTCCAAATCCAGATACTACAAAAAGAGTGTTTCAAACCTGCTCTATGAAAGGGAATGTTCAACTCTGTGACTTGAATGCAAACATCACAATGAAGTTTCTGGGAATGCTGCTGTCTGCTTTTTATATGTAATCCCGTTTCCAACGAAATCCTGAAAGCTAGACAAATATCCACCTGCAGATTCCACAAAAAGAGTGTTTCAAAACTGCTCTCTCAAAAAAAATGTTCAACTCTGTTAGCTGAGTAGATACATCATGAAAAAGTTTCTGACATTGCTTCTATCTAGCTTTTATTGGAAGATATTTCCTTTTTCACCGTAGTCCTGAGAACGCTCCAAATGTCCACTTCCAGATACTACAAAAAGAGTGTTTCAAACCTGCTCTATGAAAGGGAATGTTCAACACTGTGACTTCAATTGAAACATCCCAATGAAGCTTCTGAGAATGCTTCTGTCTAGATTCTATATGAAGACAATCCCGTTTCCAACGAAATCCTCAAAGCTATCCAAATATCCTCTTGCAGATTTTACAAAAAGAGTGTTTCAAAACTGCTCTCTCAAAAGAAAGGTTCAATTCTTTTAGCTGAGTAGATACATGATGAAAAAGTTTCTGACATTGCTTCTTTCTAGCTTTTATTGGAAGATATTTCCTTTTTCACCGTAGTCCTGAGAACGCTCCAAATGTCCACTTCCAGATGCTAAAAAAAGAGTGTTTCAAACCTGCTCTATGAAAGGGACTGTTCAACACTGTGACTTCAATTGAAACATCCCAATGAAGCTTCTGAGAATGCTACTGTCTAGGGTTAATATGAAGACAATCCCGTTTCCAACGAAATCCTCAAAGCTATCCAAATATCCTCTTGCAGATTTTACAAAAAGAATGTTTCAAAACTGCTCTATCAAAAGAAAGCTTCAACACTGTTAGTTGAGGGCGCACATCAAAAATAAGTTTCTGAGAATACTTCTGTCTAGTTTTCAGTGGAAGATATTACCTTTTTCACCATAGGCCTGAAAACGCTCCAAATGTCCAAATCCAGATACTACAAAAAGAGTGTTTCAAACCTGCTCTATGAAAGGGAATGTTCAACTCTGTGACTTCAATGCAAACATCAGAAAGAAGTTTCTGGGAATGCTGCTGTCTGCTTTTTATATGTAATCCCGTTTCCATCGAAATTCTCAAAGCTAGACAAATATCCACTTGCAGATTCCACAAAAAGAGTGTTTCAAAACTGCTCTCTCAAAAGAAAGGTTCAAATCTGTTAGGTGAGTAGATACATCATGACAAATTTTCTGACATTGCTTCTATCTAGCTTTTATTGGAAGCTATTTCCTTTTTCACCGTAGTCCTGAGAACGCTCCAAATGTCCACTTCCAGATACTACAAAAAGAGTTGTTCAAACCTGCTCTATGAAAGGGACTGTTCAACACTGTGACTTCAATTGAAACATCCCAATGAAGCTTCTGAGAATGCTTCTGTCTAGATTTTATATGAAGACAATCCCAACGAAATCCTCAAAGCTATCCCAATATCCTCTTGCAGATTTTACAAAAAGAGTGTTTCAAAACTGCTCTATCAAAAGAAAGGTTCAACACTGTTAGTTGAGGTCGCACATCACAAATAAGTTTCTGAGAATGCTTCTCTCTAGTTTTCAGGGGAAGACATTTCCTTTTTCACCATAGGCCTGAAAGCGCTCCAAATGTCCACATCCAGATACTACAAAAAGAGTGTTTCAAACCTGCTCTATGAAAGGGAATGTTCAACTCTGTGACTTGAATGCAAACATCACAAAGAAGTTTCTGGGAATGCTGCTGTCTGCTTTTTATATGTAATCCCGTTTCCAACGAAATCCTCAAACCTAGACAAATATCCACCTGCAGATCCAACAAAAAGAGTGTTTCAATACTGCTCTCTCAAAAAAAAGGTTCAACTCTGTTAGCTGAGTAGATACATCATGAAGAAGTTTCTGACATTGCTTCTATCTAGCTTTTATTGGAAGATATTTCCTTTTTCACCGTAGTCCTGAGAGCGCTCCAAATGTCCACTTCCAGATACTACAAAAAGAGTGTTTCAAACCTGCTCTATGAAAGGGACTGTTCAACACTGTGACTTCAAGTGAAACATCCCAATGAAGCTTCTGAGAATGCTACTGTCTAGAGTTTATATGAAGACAATCCCATTTCCACCGAAATCCTCAAAGCTATCCAAATATCCTCTTGCAGATTTTACAAAAAGAGTGTTTCAAACTGCTCTATCAAAAGAAAGCTTCAACACTGTTAGTTGAGGGTGCACATCGCAAATAAGTTTCTGAGAATGCTTCTGTCTAGTTTTCAGGGGAAGATATTTCCTTTTTCACCATAGGCCTCAAAGCGCTCCAAATGTCCACATCCAGATACTACAAAAAGAGTGTTTCAAACCTGCTCTACGAAAGGGAATGTTCAACTCTGTGACTTGAAAGCAAACATCACAAAGAAGTTTCTGGGAATGCTGCTGTCTGCTTTTTATATGTAATCCCGTTTCCAACGAAATCCTCAAAGCTAGACAAATATCCACTTGCAGATTCCACAAAAAGAGTTTTTCAAAACTGCTCTCTCAAAAGAAAGGTTCAATTCTGTTAGCTGAGTAGATACCTCATGAAAAATTTTCTGACATTGCTTCTATCTAGCTTTATTTGGAAGATATTTCCTTTTTCACCATAGTCCTGAAAACGCTCCAAATGTCAACTTCCAGATACTACAAAAAGAGTGTTTCAAACATGCTCTATGAAAGGGACTGTTCAACACTGTGACTTCAATTGAATCATCCCAATGAAGCTTCTGAGAATGCTTCTGTCTAGATTTTATATGAAGACAATCCCGTTTCAAACGAAATCCTCAAAGCTATCCAAATATCCTCTTGCAGATTTTACAAAAAGAGTGTTTCAAAACTGCTCTATCAAAAGAAAGTTTCAACACTGTTAGTTGAGGGCGCACATCACAAATAAGTTTCTGAGACTACTTCTGTCTAGTTTTCAGTGGAATATATTTCCTTTTTCACCGTAGTCCTGAGAGCGCTCCAAATGTCCAATTCCAGATACTACAAAAAGAGTGTTTCAAACCTGCTCTATGAAAGGGACTGTTCAACACTGTGACTTCAATTGATACATCCCAATGAAGCTTCTGAGAATGCTTCTTTCTAGATTCTATATGAAGACAATCCCCTTTCCAACGAAATCCTCAAAGCTATCCAAATATCCTCTTGCAGATTTTACAAAAAGAGTGTTTCAAAACTGCTCTATCAAAAGAAAGGTTCAACACTGTTAG
Source organism: Homo sapiens (assembly GCF_000001405.40). Lineage (NCBI taxonomy): Eukaryota > Metazoa > Chordata > Mammalia > Primates > Hominidae > Homo > Homo sapiens. The sequence goes on along the minus strand of NC_000002.12, from coordinate 94,142,583 downwards.
TTGAGGGCGCACATCACAAATAAGTTTCTGAGAATGCTTCTGTCTAGTTTTCAGGGGAAGATATTTCCTTTTTCACCATAGGCCTGAAAGCGCTCCAAATGTCCACATCCAGATACTACAAAGAGAGTGTTTCAAACCTGCTCTATGAAAGGGAATGTTCTAGTCTGTGACTTGAATGCTAATTTCACAAAGAACTTTCTGGGAATGCTGCTGTCTGCTTTTTATATGTAATCCCGTTTCCAACGAAATCCTCAAAGCTAGACAAATATCCACTTGCAGATTCCACAAAAATAGTGTTTCAAAACTGCTCTCTCAAAAGAATGGTTCAACTCTTTTAGCTGAGTAGATACATCATGAAAAAGTTTCTGATATTGCTTCTATCTAGCTTTTATTGGAAGATATTTCCTTTTTCACCGTAGTCCTGAGAACGCTCCAAATGTCCACTTCCAGATGCTACAAAAAGAGTGTTGCAAACCTGCTCTATGAAAGGGACTGTTCAACACTGTGACTTCAATTGAAACCTCCCAATGAAGCTTCTGAGAATGCTACTGTCTATGGTTAATATGAATACAATCCCGTTTCCAACAAAATCCTCAAAGCTATCCAAATATACTCTTGCAGATTTTACAAAAAGAATGTTTCAAAACTGCTCTATCAAAAGAAAGCTTCAACACTGTTAGTTGAGGGCGCACATCATAAATAAGTTTCTGAGAATGCTTCTGTCTAGTTTTCAGGGGAAGATATTTCCTTTTTCACCATAGGCCTGAAAGCGCTCCAAATGTCCACATCCAGATACTACAAAAAGAGTGTTTCAAACCTGCTCTATGAAAGGGAATGTTCAACTCTGTGACTTGAATGCAAACATCACAAAGAAGTTTCTGGGAATGCTGCTGTCTGCTTTTTATAGGTAATCCCGTTTCCAACGAAATCCTCAAAGCTAGACAAATATCCACTTGCAGATTCCACAAAAAGAGTGTTTCAAAACTGCTCTCTCAAAAGAAAGTTTCAACTCTGTTAGCTGAGTAGATACATCATGAAAAAGTTTCTCACATTGCTTCTATCTAGCTTTTATTGGAAGATATTTCCTTTTTCACCGTAGTCCTGAGAGCGCTCCAAATGTCCACTTCCAGATGCTACAAAAAGAGTGTTTCAAACCTGCTCTATGAAAGGGACTGTTCAACACTGTGACTTCAATTGAAACATCCCAATGAAGCTTATCAGAATGCTACAGTCTAGAGTTTATATGAAGACAATCCCGTTTCCAACGAAATCCTCAAAGCTATCCAAATATCCTCTTGCAGATTTACAAAAAGAGTGTTTGAAAACTACTCTATCAAAAGAAAGGTTCAACACTGTTAGTTGAGGGCGCACATCACAAATAAGTTTCTGAGAATGCTTCTGTCTAGTTTTCAGGGGAAGATATTTCCTTTTTCACCATAGGCCTCAGAGCGCTCCAAATGTCCACATCCAGATACTACAAAAAGAGTGTTTCAAACCTGCTCTATGAAAGGGAATGTTCAACTCTGTGACTTGAATGCAAACATCACAAAGAAGTTTCTGGGAATGCTGCTGTCTGCTTTTTATATGTAATCCCGTTTCCAACGAAATCCTCAAACCTAGACAAATATCCACCTGCAGATCCAACAAAAAGATTGTTTCAAAACTGCTCTCTCAAAAAAAAGGTTCAACTCTGTTAGCTGAGTAGATACATTATGAAAAAGTTTCTGACATTGCTTCTATCTAGCTTTTATTGGAAGATATTTCCTTTTTCACCGTAGTCCTGAGAGCGCTCCAAATGTCCACTTCCAGATACTACAAAAAGAGTGTTTCAAACCTGCTCTATGAAAGGGACTGTTCAACACTGTGACTTCAATTGAAACATCCCAATGAAGCTTCTGAGAATGCTACTGTCTAGAGTTTATATGAAGACAATACCATTTCCACCGAAATCCTCAAAGCTATCCAAATATCCTCTTGCAGATTTTACAAAAAGAGTGTTTCAAACTGCTCTATCAAAAGAAAGCTT